>NC_000001.11:10000-207666 GCF_000001405.40 Homo sapiens
TAACCCTAACCCTAACCCTAACCCTAACCCTAACCCTAACCCTAACCCTAACCCTAACCCTAACCCTAACCCTAACCCTAACCCTAACCCTAACCCTAACCCTAACCCAACCCTAACCCTAACCCTAACCCTAACCCTAACCCTAACCCCTAACCCTAACCCTAACCCTAACCCTAACCTAACCCTAACCCTAACCCTAACCCTAACCCTAACCCTAACCCTAACCCTAACCCCTAACCCTAACCCTAAACCCTAAACCCTAACCCTAACCCTAACCCTAACCCTAACCCCAACCCCAACCCCAACCCCAACCCCAACCCCAACCCTAACCCCTAACCCTAACCCTAACCCTACCCTAACCCTAACCCTAACCCTAACCCTAACCCTAACCCCTAACCCCTAACCCTAACCCTAACCCTAACCCTAACCCTAACCCTAACCCCTAACCCTAACCCTAACCCTAACCCTCGCGGTACCCTCAGCCGGCCCGCCCGCCCGGGTCTGACCTGAGGAGAACTGTGCTCCGCCTTCAGAGTACCACCGAAATCTGTGCAGAGGACAACGCAGCTCCGCCCTCGCGGTGCTCTCCGGGTCTGTGCTGAGGAGAACGCAACTCCGCCGTTGCAAAGGCGCGCCGCGCCGGCGCAGGCGCAGAGAGGCGCGCCGCGCCGGCGCAGGCGCAGAGAGGCGCGCCGCGCCGGCGCAGGCGCAGAGAGGCGCGCCGCGCCGGCGCAGGCGCAGAGAGGCGCGCCGCGCCGGCGCAGGCGCAGAGAGGCGCGCCGCGCCGGCGCAGGCGCAGACACATGCTAGCGCGTCGGGGTGGAGGCGTGGCGCAGGCGCAGAGAGGCGCGCCGCGCCGGCGCAGGCGCAGAGACACATGCTACCGCGTCCAGGGGTGGAGGCGTGGCGCAGGCGCAGAGAGGCGCACCGCGCCGGCGCAGGCGCAGAGACACATGCTAGCGCGTCCAGGGGTGGAGGCGTGGCGCAGGCGCAGAGACGCAAGCCTACGGGCGGGGGTTGGGGGGGCGTGTGTTGCAGGAGCAAAGTCGCACGGCGCCGGGCTGGGGCGGGGGGAGGGTGGCGCCGTGCACGCGCAGAAACTCACGTCACGGTGGCGCGGCGCAGAGACGGGTAGAACCTCAGTAATCCGAAAAGCCGGGATCGACCGCCCCTTGCTTGCAGCCGGGCACTACAGGACCCGCTTGCTCACGGTGCTGTGCCAGGGCGCCCCCTGCTGGCGACTAGGGCAACTGCAGGGCTCTCTTGCTTAGAGTGGTGGCCAGCGCCCCCTGCTGGCGCCGGGGCACTGCAGGGCCCTCTTGCTTACTGTATAGTGGTGGCACGCCGCCTGCTGGCAGCTAGGGACATTGCAGGGTCCTCTTGCTCAAGGTGTAGTGGCAGCACGCCCACCTGCTGGCAGCTGGGGACACTGCCGGGCCCTCTTGCTCCAACAGTACTGGCGGATTATAGGGAAACACCCGGAGCATATGCTGTTTGGTCTCAGTAGACTCCTAAATATGGGATTCCTGGGTTTAAAAGTAAAAAATAAATATGTTTAATTTGTGAACTGATTACCATCAGAATTGTACTGTTCTGTATCCCACCAGCAATGTCTAGGAATGCCTGTTTCTCCACAAAGTGTTTACTTTTGGATTTTTGCCAGTCTAACAGGTGAAGCCCTGGAGATTCTTATTAGTGATTTGGGCTGGGGCCTGGCCATGTGTATTTTTTTAAATTTCCACTGATGATTTTGCTGCATGGCCGGTGTTGAGAATGACTGCGCAAATTTGCCGGATTTCCTTTGCTGTTCCTGCATGTAGTTTAAACGAGATTGCCAGCACCGGGTATCATTCACCATTTTTCTTTTCGTTAACTTGCCGTCAGCCTTTTCTTTGACCTCTTCTTTCTGTTCATGTGTATTTGCTGTCTCTTAGCCCAGACTTCCCGTGTCCTTTCCACCGGGCCTTTGAGAGGTCACAGGGTCTTGATGCTGTGGTCTTCATCTGCAGGTGTCTGACTTCCAGCAACTGCTGGCCTGTGCCAGGGTGCAAGCTGAGCACTGGAGTGGAGTTTTCCTGTGGAGAGGAGCCATGCCTAGAGTGGGATGGGCCATTGTTCATCTTCTGGCCCCTGTTGTCTGCATGTAACTTAATACCACAACCAGGCATAGGGGAAAGATTGGAGGAAAGATGAGTGAGAGCATCAACTTCTCTCACAACCTAGGCCAGTAAGTAGTGCTTGTGCTCATCTCCTTGGCTGTGATACGTGGCCGGCCCTCGCTCCAGCAGCTGGACCCCTACCTGCCGTCTGCTGCCATCGGAGCCCAAAGCCGGGCTGTGACTGCTCAGACCAGCCGGCTGGAGGGAGGGGCTCAGCAGGTCTGGCTTTGGCCCTGGGAGAGCAGGTGGAAGATCAGGCAGGCCATCGCTGCCACAGAACCCAGTGGATTGGCCTAGGTGGGATCTCTGAGCTCAACAAGCCCTCTCTGGGTGGTAGGTGCAGAGACGGGAGGGGCAGAGCCGCAGGCACAGCCAAGAGGGCTGAAGAAATGGTAGAACGGAGCAGCTGGTGATGTGTGGGCCCACCGGCCCCAGGCTCCTGTCTCCCCCCAGGTGTGTGGTGATGCCAGGCATGCCCTTCCCCAGCATCAGGTCTCCAGAGCTGCAGAAGACGACGGCCGACTTGGATCACACTCTTGTGAGTGTCCCCAGTGTTGCAGAGGTGAGAGGAGAGTAGACAGTGAGTGGGAGTGGCGTCGCCCCTAGGGCTCTACGGGGCCGGCGTCTCCTGTCTCCTGGAGAGGCTTCGATGCCCCTCCACACCCTCTTGATCTTCCCTGTGATGTCATCTGGAGCCCTGCTGCTTGCGGTGGCCTATAAAGCCTCCTAGTCTGGCTCCAAGGCCTGGCAGAGTCTTTCCCAGGGAAAGCTACAAGCAGCAAACAGTCTGCATGGGTCATCCCCTTCACTCCCAGCTCAGAGCCCAGGCCAGGGGCCCCCAAGAAAGGCTCTGGTGGAGAACCTGTGCATGAAGGCTGTCAACCAGTCCATAGGCAAGCCTGGCTGCCTCCAGCTGGGTCGACAGACAGGGGCTGGAGAAGGGGAGAAGAGGAAAGTGAGGTTGCCTGCCCTGTCTCCTACCTGAGGCTGAGGAAGGAGAAGGGGATGCACTGTTGGGGAGGCAGCTGTAACTCAAAGCCTTAGCCTCTGTTCCCACGAAGGCAGGGCCATCAGGCACCAAAGGGATTCTGCCAGCATAGTGCTCCTGGACCAGTGATACACCCGGCACCCTGTCCTGGACACGCTGTTGGCCTGGATCTGAGCCCTGGTGGAGGTCAAAGCCACCTTTGGTTCTGCCATTGCTGCTGTGTGGAAGTTCACTCCTGCCTTTTCCTTTCCCTAGAGCCTCCACCACCCCGAGATCACATTTCTCACTGCCTTTTGTCTGCCCAGTTTCACCAGAAGTAGGCCTCTTCCTGACAGGCAGCTGCACCACTGCCTGGCGCTGTGCCCTTCCTTTGCTCTGCCCGCTGGAGACGGTGTTTGTCATGGGCCTGGTCTGCAGGGATCCTGCTACAAAGGTGAAACCCAGGAGAGTGTGGAGTCCAGAGTGTTGCCAGGACCCAGGCACAGGCATTAGTGCCCGTTGGAGAAAACAGGGGAATCCCGAAGAAATGGTGGGTCCTGGCCATCCGTGAGATCTTCCCAGGGCAGCTCCCCTCTGTGGAATCCAATCTGTCTTCCATCCTGCGTGGCCGAGGGCCAGGCTTCTCACTGGGCCTCTGCAGGAGGCTGCCATTTGTCCTGCCCACCTTCTTAGAAGCGAGACGGAGCAGACCCATCTGCTACTGCCCTTTCTATAATAACTAAAGTTAGCTGCCCTGGACTATTCACCCCCTAGTCTCAATTTAAGAAGATCCCCATGGCCACAGGGCCCCTGCCTGGGGGCTTGTCACCTCCCCCACCTTCTTCCTGAGTCATTCCTGCAGCCTTGCTCCCTAACCTGCCCCACAGCCTTGCCTGGATTTCTATCTCCCTGGCTTGGTGCCAGTTCCTCCAAGTCGATGGCACCTCCCTCCCTCTCAACCACTTGAGCAAACTCCAAGACATCTTCTACCCCAACACCAGCAATTGTGCCAAGGGCCATTAGGCTCTCAGCATGACTATTTTTAGAGACCCCGTGTCTGTCACTGAAACCTTTTTTGTGGGAGACTATTCCTCCCATCTGCAACAGCTGCCCCTGCTGACTGCCCTTCTCTCCTCCCTCTCATCCCAGAGAAACAGGTCAGCTGGGAGCTTCTGCCCCCACTGCCTAGGGACCAACAGGGGCAGGAGGCAGTCACTGACCCCGAGACGTTTGCATCCTGCACAGCTAGAGATCCTTTATTAAAAGCACACTGTTGGTTTCTGCTCAGTTCTTTATTGATTGGTGTGCCGTTTTCTCTGGAAGCCTCTTAAGAACACAGTGGCGCAGGCTGGGTGGAGCCGTCCCCCCATGGAGCACAGGCAGACAGAAGTCCCCGCCCCAGCTGTGTGGCCTCAAGCCAGCCTTCCGCTCCTTGAAGCTGGTCTCCACACAGTGCTGGTTCCGTCACCCCCTCCCAAGGAAGTAGGTCTGAGCAGCTTGTCCTGGCTGTGTCCATGTCAGAGCAACGGCCCAAGTCTGGGTCTGGGGGGGAAGGTGTCATGGAGCCCCCTACGATTCCCAGTCGTCCTCGTCCTCCTCTGCCTGTGGCTGCTGCGGTGGCGGCAGAGGAGGGATGGAGTCTGACACGCGGGCAAAGGCTCCTCCGGGCCCCTCACCAGCCCCAGGTCCTTTCCCAGAGATGCCTGGAGGGAAAAGGCTGAGTGAGGGTGGTTGGTGGGAAACCCTGGTTCCCCCAGCCCCCGGAGACTTAAATACAGGAAGAAAAAGGCAGGACAGAATTACAAGGTGCTGGCCCAGGGCGGGCAGCGGCCCTGCCTCCTACCCTTGCGCCTCATGACCAGCTTGTTGAAGAGATCCGACATCAAGTGCCCACCTTGGCTCGTGGCTCTCACTGCAACGGGAAAGCCACAGACTGGGGTGAAGAGTTCAGTCACATGCGACCGGTGACTCCCTGTCCCCACCCCCATGACACTCCCCAGCCCTCCAAGGCCACTGTGTTTCCCAGTTAGCTCAGAGCCTCAGTCGATCCCTGACCCAGCACCGGGCACTGATGAGACAGCGGCTGTTTGAGGAGCCACCTCCCAGCCACCTCGGGGCCAGGGCCAGGGTGTGCAGCACCACTGTACAATGGGGAAACTGGCCCAGAGAGGTGAGGCAGCTTGCCTGGGGTCACAGAGCAAGGCAAAAGCAGCGCTGGGTACAAGCTCAAAACCATAGTGCCCAGGGCACTGCCGCTGCAGGCGCAGGCATCGCATCACACCAGTGTCTGCGTTCACAGCAGGCATCATCAGTAGCCTCCAGAGGCCTCAGGTCCAGTCTCTAAAAATATCTCAGGAGGCTGCAGTGGCTGACCATTGCCTTGGACCGCTCTTGGCAGTCGAAGAAGATTCTCCTGTCAGTTTGAGCTGGGTGAGCTTAGAGAGGAAAGCTCCACTATGGCTCCCAAACCAGGAAGGAGCCATAGCCCAGGCAGGAGGGCTGAGGACCTCTGGTGGCGGCCCAGGGCTTCCAGCATGTGCCCTAGGGGAAGCAGGGGCCAGCTGGCAAGAGCAGGGGGTGGGCAGAAAGCACCCGGTGGACTCAGGGCTGGAGGGGAGGAGGCGATCTTGCCCAAGGCCCTCCGACTGCAAGCTCCAGGGCCCGCTCACCTTGCTCCTGCTCCTTCTGCTGCTGCTTCTCCAGCTTTCGCTCCTTCATGCTGCGCAGCTTGGCCTTGCCGATGCCCCCAGCTTGGCGGATGGACTCTAGCAGAGTGGCCAGCCACCGGAGGGGTCAACCACTTCCCTGGGAGCTCCCTGGACTGGAGCCGGGAGGTGGGGAACAGGGCAAGGAGGAAAGGCTGCTCAGGCAGGGCTGGGGAAGCTTACTGTGTCCAAGAGCCTGCTGGGAGGGAAGTCACCTCCCCTCAAACGAGGAGCCCTGCGCTGGGGAGGCCGGACCTTTGGAGACTGTGTGTGGGGGCCTGGGCACTGACTTCTGCAACCACCTGAGCGCGGGCATCCTGTGTGCAGATACTCCCTGCTTCCTCTCTAGCCCCCACCCTGCAGAGCTGGACCCCTGAGCTAGCCATGCTCTGACAGTCTCAGTTGCACACACGAGCCAGCAGAGGGGTTTTGTGCCACTTCTGGATGCTAGGGTTACACTGGGAGACACAGCAGTGAAGCTGAAATGAAAAATGTGTTGCTGTAGTTTGTTATTAGACCCCTTCTTTCCATTGGTTTAATTAGGAATGGGGAACCCAGAGCCTCACTTGTTCAGGCTCCCTCTGCCCTAGAAGTGAGAAGTCCAGAGCTCTACAGTTTGAAAACCACTATTTTATGAACCAAGTAGAACAAGATATTTGAAATGGAAACTATTCAAAAAATTGAGAATTTCTGACCACTTAACAAACCCACAGAAAATCCACCCGAGTGCACTGAGCACGCCAGAAATCAGGTGGCCTCAAAGAGCTGCTCCCACCTGAAGGAGACGCGCTGCTGCTGCTGTCGTCCTGCCTGGCGCCTTGGCCTACAGGGGCCGCGGTTGAGGGTGGGAGTGGGGGTGCACTGGCCAGCACCTCAGGAGCTGGGGGTGGTGGTGGGGGCGGTGGGGGTGGTGTTAGTACCCCATCTTGTAGGTCTGAAACACAAAGTGTGGGGTGTCTAGGGAAGAAGGTGTGTGACCAGGGAGGTCCCCGGCCCAGCTCCCATCCCAGAACCCAGCTCACCTACCTTGAGAGGCTCGGCTACCTCAGTGTGGAAGGTGGGCAGTTCTGGAATGGTGCCAGGGGCAGAGGGGGCAATGCCGGGGCCCAGGTCGGCAATGTACATGAGGTCGTTGGCAATGCCGGGCAGGTCAGGCAGGTAGGATGGAACATCAATCTCAGGCACCTGGCCCAGGTCTGGCACATAGAAGTAGTTCTCTGGGACCTGCAAGATTAGGCAGGGACATGTGAGAGGTGACAGGGACCTGCAGGGGCAGCCAACAAGACCTTGTGTGCACCTCCCATGGGTGGAATAAGGGGCCCAACAGCCTTGACTGGAGAGGAGCTCTGGCAAGGCCCTGGGCCACTGCACCTGTCTCCACCTCTGTCCCACCCCTCCCACCTGCTGTTCCAGCTGCTCTCTCTTGCTGATGGACAAGGGGGCATCAAACAGCTTCTCCTCTGTCTCTGCCCCCAGCATCACATGGGTCTTTGTTACAGCACCAGCCAGGGGGTCCAGGAAGACATACTTCTTCTACCTACAGAGGCGACATGGGGGTCAGGCAAGCTGACACCCGCTGTCCTGAGCCCATGTTCCTCTCCCACATCATCAGGGGCACAGCGTGCACTGTGGGGTCCCAGGCCTCCCGAGCCGAGCCACCCGTCACCCCCTGGCTCCTGGCCTATGTGCTGTACCTGTGTCTGATGCCCTGGGTCCCCACTAAGCCAGGCCGGGCCTCCCGCCCACACCCCTCGGCCCTGCCCTCTGGCCATACAGGTTCTCGGTGGTGTTGAAGAGCAGCAAGGAGCTGACAGAGCTGATGTTGCTGGGAAGACCCCCAAGTCCCTCTTCTGCATCGTCCTCGGGCTCCGGCTTGGTGCTCACGCACACAGGAAAGTCCTTCAGCTTCTCCTGAGAGGGCCAGGATGGCCAAGGGATGGTGAATATTTGGTGCTGGGCCTAATCAGCTGCCATCCCATCCCAGTCAGCCTCCTCTGGGGGACAGAACCCTATGGTGGCCCCGGCTCCTCCCCAGTATCCAGTCCTCCTGGTGTGTGACAGGCTATATGCGCGGCCAGCAGACCTGCAGGGCCCGCTCGTCCAGGGGGCGGTGCTTGCTCTGGATCCTGTGGCGGGGGCGTCTCTGCAGGCCAGGGTCCTGGGCGCCCGTGAAGATGGAGCCATATTCCTGCAGGCGCCCTGGAGCAGGGTACTTGGCACTGGAGAACACCTGTGGACACAGGGACAAGTCTGAGGGGGCCCCAAGAGGCTCAGAGGGCTAGGATTGCTTGGCAGGAGAGGGTGGAGTTGGAAGCCTGGGCGAGAAGAAAGCTCAAGGTACAGGTGGGCAGCAGGGCAGAGACTGGGCAGCCTCAGAGGCACGGGGAAATGGAGGGACTGCCCAGTAGCCTCAGGACACAGGGGTATGGGGACTACCTTGATGGCCTTCTTGCTGCCCTTGATCTTCTCAATCTTGGCCTGGGCCAAGGAGACCTTCTCTCCAATGGCCTGCACCTGGCTCCGGCTCTGCTCTACCTGCTGGGAGATCCTGCCATGGAGAAGATCACAGAGGCTGGGCTGCTCCCCACCCTCTGCACACCTCCTGCTTCTAACAGCAGAGCTGCCAGGCCAGGCCCTCAGGCAAGGGCTCTGAAGTCAGGGTCACCTACTTGCCAGGGCCGATCTTGGTGCCATCCAGGGGGCCTCTACAAGGATAATCTGACCTGCAGGGTCGAGGAGTTGACGGTGCTGAGTTCCCTGCACTCTCAGTAGGGACAGGCCCTATGCTGCCACCTGTACATGCTATCTGAAGGACAGCCTCCAGGGCACACAGAGGATGGTATTTACACATGCACACATGGCTACTGATGGGGCAAGCACTTCACAACCCCTCATGATCACGTGCAGCAGACAATGTGGCCTCTGCAGAGGGGGAACGGAGACCGGAGGCTGAGACTGGCAAGGCTGGACCTGAGTGTCGTCACCTAAATTCAGACGGGGAACTGCCCCTGCACATACTGAACGGCTCACTGAGCAAACCCCGAGTCCCGACCACCGCCTCAGTGTGGTCTAGCTCCTCACCTGCTTCCATCCTCCCTGGTGCGGGGTGGGCCCAGTGATATCAGCTGCCTGCTGTTCCCCAGATGTGCCAAGTGCATTCTTGTGTGCTTGCATCTCATGGAACGCCATTTCCCCAGACATCCCTGTGGCTGGCTCCTGATGCCCGAGGCCCAAGTGTCTGATGCTTTAAGGCACATCACCCCACTCATGCTTTTCCATGTTCTTTGGCCGCAGCAAGGCCGCTCTCACTGCAAAGTTAACTCTGATGCGTGTGTAACACAACATCCTCCTCCCAGTCGCCCCTGTAGCTCCCCTACCTCCAAGAGCCCAGCCCTTGCCCACAGGGCCACACTCCACGTGCAGAGCAGCCTCAGCACTCACCGGGCACGAGCGAGCCTGTGTGGTGCGCAGGGATGAGAAGGCAGAGGCGCGACTGGGGTTCATGAGGAAGGGCAGGAGGAGGGTGTGGGATGGTGGAGGGGTTTGAGAAGGCAGAGGCGCGACTGGGGTTCATGAGGAAAGGGAGGGGGAGGATGTGGGATGGTGGAGGGGCTGCAGACTCTGGGCTAGGGAAAGCTGGGATGTCTCTAAAGGTTGGAATGAATGGCCTAGAATCCGACCCAATAAGCCAAAGCCACTTCCACCAACGTTAGAAGGCCTTGGCCCCCAGAGAGCCAATTTCACAATCCAGAAGTCCCCGTGCCCTAAAGGGTCTGCCCTGATTACTCCTGGCTCCTTGTGTGCAGGGGGCTCAGGCATGGCAGGGCTGGGAGTACCAGCAGGCACTCAAGCGGCTTAAGTGTTCCATGACAGACTGGTATGAAGGTGGCCACAATTCAGAAAGAAAAAAGAAGAGCACCATCTCCTTCCAGTGAGGAAGCGGGACCACCACCCAGCGTGTGCTCCATCTTTTCTGGCTGGGGAGAGGCCTTCATCTGCTGTAAAGGGTCCTCCAGCACAAGCTGTCTTAATTGACCCTAGTTCCCAGGGCAGCCTCGTTCTGCCTTGGGTGCTGACACGACCTTCGGTAGGTGCATAAGCTCTGCATTCGAGGTCCACAGGGGCAGTGGGAGGGAACTGAGACTGGGGAGGGACAAAGGCTGCTCTGTCCTGGTGCTCCCACAAAGGAGAAGGGCTGATCACTCAAAGTTGCGAACACCAAGCTCAACAATGAGCCCTGGAAAATTTCTGGAATGGATTATTAAACAGAGAGTCTGTAAGCACTTAGAAAAGGCCGCGGTGAGTCCCAGGGGCCAGCACTGCTCGAAATGTACAGCATTTCTCTTTGTAACAGGATTATTAGCCTGCTGTGCCCGGGGAAAACATGCAGCACAGTGCATCTCGAGTCAGCAGGATTTTGACGGCTTCTAACAAAATCTTGTAGACAAGATGGAGCTATGGGGGTTGGAGGAGAGAACATATAGGAAAAATCAGAGCCAAATGAACCACAGCCCCAAAGGGCACAGTTGAACAATGGACTGATTCCAGCCTTGCACGGAGGGATCTGGCAGAGTCCATCCAGTTCATTCAACACCTGGTTAGAAAACTGGGGCCAGCACACAGGGGAAGGGTAAGCTGGTTTCATGATCGAATCAAGGCTCAGACAATTTTTAAAGGCCAGAGGGTAGACTGCAATCACCAAGATGAAATTTACAAGGAACAAATGTGAAGCCCAACATTTAGGTTTTAAAAATCAAGCGTATAAATACAGAAGGTGGAGGGAACTTGCTTTAGACACAGTTCAGGTGAAGAAAGACCTGGAAACTTCTGTTAACTATAAGCTCAGTAGGGGCTAAAAGCATGTTAATCGGCATAAAAAGGCAATGAGATCTTAGGGCACACAGCTCCCCGCCCCTCTTCTGCCCTTCATCCTTCTTTCAATCAGCAGGGACCGTGCACTCTCTTGGAGCCACCACAGAAAACAGAGGTGCATCCAGCACCACAGAAAACAGAGCCACCACAGAAAACAGAGGGTGACTGTCATCCCCTCCAGTCTCTGCACACTCCCAGCTGCAGCAGAGCAGGAGGAGAGAGCACAGCCTGCAATGCTAATTTGCCAGGAGCTCACCTGCCTGCGTCACTGGGCACAGACGCCAGTGAGGCCAGAGGCCGGGCTGTGCTGGGGCCTGAGCCGGGTGGTGGGGAGAGAGTCTCTCCCCTGCCCCTGTCTCTTCCGTGCAGGAGGAGCATGTTTAAGGGGACGGGTTCAAAGCTGGTCACATCCCCACCGAAAAAGCCCATGGACAACGAAAAGCCCACTAGCTTGTCCAGTGCCACAGGAGGGGCAAGTGGAGGAGGAGAGGTGGCGGTGCTCCCCACTCCACTGCCAGTCGTCACTGGCTCTCCCTTCCCTTCATCCTCGTTCCCTATCTGTCACCATTTCCTGTCGTCGTTTCCTCTGAATGTCTCACCCTGCCCTCCCTGCTTGCAAGTCCCCTGTCTGTAGCCTCACCCCTGTCGTATCCTGACTACAATAACAGCTTCTGGGTGTCCCTGGCATCCACTCTCTCTCCCTTCTTGTCCCTTCCGTGACGGATGCCTGAGGAACCTTCCCCAAACTCTTCTGTCCCATCCCTGCCCTGCTCAAAATCCAATCACAGCTCCCTAACACGCCTGAATCAACTTGAAGTCCTGTCTTGAGTAATCCGTGGGCCCTAACTCACTCATCCCAACTCTTCACTCACTGCCCTGCCCCACACCCTGCCAGGGAGCCTCCCGTGGCACCGTGGGGACACAAAGGAACCAGGGCAAAGCTCCCTCAGCCCCATTCAAAGAGGCCTGGCCCACAGGCTCACGGAAAGTCAGCCTCTCATGCCCCGAGAGCTGAGTGCAAGGGAGAGGCAGCGCTGTCTGTGCTTCCCATGCAGAAGCACCCCCCTCCCACCCCTGTGCAGGCCGGCCTTCGCGGCAGACCACCATACACCACGTTCCAAGCCACACTGAGGCCTCCCTCCAAGCCTGCAGCCCCCATTTCCAGACCCTGCCAGGGCAACCTGCATATCCACCTCCCTACCCTGCCCCCCTCTTCCAGGAGTCTGCCCTATGTGGAGTAAGCACGTGGTTTTCCTCTTCAGCAACTATTTCCTTTTTACTCAAGCAATGGCCCCATTTCCCTTGGGGAATCCATCTCTCTCGCAGGCTTAGTCCCAGAGCTTCAGGTGGGGCTGCCCACAGAGCTCCTCAGTCTAAGCCAAGTGGTGTGTCATAGTCCCCTGGCCCCATTAATGGATTCTGGGATAGACATGAGGACCAAGCCAGGTGGGATGAGTGAGTGTGGCTTCTGGAGGAAGTGGGGACACAGGACAGCATTCTTTCCTGCTGGACCTGACCCTGTGTCATGTCACCTTGCTACCACGAGAGCATGGCCTGTCTGGGAATGCAGCCAGACCCAAAGAAGCAAACTGACATGGAAGGAAAGCAAAACCAGGCCCTGAGGACATCATTTTAGCCCTTACTCCGAAGGCTGCTCTACTGATTGGTTAATTTTTGCTTAGCTTGGTCTGGGGAGTTCTGACAGGCGTGCCACCAATTCTTACCGATTTCTCTCCACTCTAGACCCTGAGAAGCCCACGCGGTTCATGCTAGCAATTAACAATCAATCTCGCCCTATGTGTTCCCATTCCAGCCTCTAGGACACAGTGGCAGCCACATAATTGGTATCTCTTAAGGTCCAGCACGAGGTGGAGCACATGGTGGAGAGACAGATGCAGTGACCTGGAACCCAGGAGTGAGGGAGCCAGGACTCAGGCCCAAGGCTCCTGAGAGGCATCTGGCCCTCCCTGCGCTGTGCCAGCAGCTTGGAGAACCCACACTCAATGAACGCAGCACTCCACTACCCAGGAAATGCCTTCCTGCCCTCTCCTCATCCCATCCCTGGGCAGGGGACATGCAACTGTCTACAAGGTGCCAAGTACCAGGACAGGAAAGGAAAGACGCCAAAAATCCAGCGCTGCCCTCAGAGAAGGGCAACCACGCAGTCCCCATCTTGGCAAGGAAACACAATTTCCGAGGGAATGGTTTTGGCCTCCATTCTAAGTGCTGGACATGGGGTGGCCATAATCTGGAGCTGATGGCTCTTAAAGACCTGCATCCTCTTCCCTAGGTGTCCCTCGGGCACATTTAGCACAAAGATAAGCACAAAAGGTGCATCCAGCACTTTGTTACTATTGGTGGCAGGTTTATGAATGGCAACCAAAGGCAGTGTACGGGTCAAGATTATCAACAGGGAAGAGATAGCATTTCCTGAAGGCTTCCTAGGTGCCAGGCACTGTTCCATTCCTTTGCATGTTTTGATTAATTTAATATTTAAAATAATTCTACCAGGAAGCTACCATTATTACCACAACTTCACAAATGAGAACACCGAGGCTTAGAGGGGTTGGGTTGCCCAAGGTTACAGAGGAAGAAAACAGGGGAGCTGGATCTGAGCCAAGGCATCAACTCCAAGGTAACCCCTCAGTCACTTCACTGTGTGTCCCCTGGTTACTGGGACATTCTTGACAAACTCGGGGCAAGCCGGTGAGTCAGTGGGGGAGGACTTTCAGGAAGAGGTGGGTTCCCAGTTGGTGACAGAAGAGGAGGCTGCAAAGTGAAGGAGCAGGGGCTCCAGGTCTGGCGACAACCAGGGAAGGGACAGGGCAGGGATGGCTTGGACCACGAGAGGCACCTGAGTCAGGCAGTCACATACTTCCCACTGGGGTCTACCATGTGAGGCATGGTGTGGGATCCTGGGAAGGAGACCAAGCCTCATTTCAGTTTGCTTATGGCCAAAGACAGGACCTGTGTACCCGACAACCCCTGGGACCTTTACCAAAAAAAGAGCAAACACCATTCACTCACTCATGTTAGATAAACACTGAGTGAAGTCACTGGAGCCCAAGGACTGTGCGAGGTCAGCACTGCCAATACAAGAAGCTGCAGCCCTCCAGCTCGCCTCCCTCAATGGCCACTCCGTGCTCCAGCCATGCTGGCTTCCTTTTAGGTCCTCCACCTCCAGGCTGTAGTTCATGTGCTTCTTTCTGGAATGTTCTTCCCAACCTACCCACTCAACCCTCAGACTTTACCATAAATGTCATTTCCTCACGTCTGCCTTCCCTGACCTGAGACCAAGCCAGGCTTCCCATGACGAGCCTCACAGTACCCCATCTCCCCTGAACAGATGCAGTAATAACCTACATAACCCGGGGCCATGATCTATGGCTTTGAATCCTGGCTCTGTCACTAGGCCAGGTCTCTCAGCCCTTCTGTGCCTCAGTTTCCTCATCTATAAAATGAGATGACGGCAGTGCCTGCTCATGAAGTGTGAGTTAATGCACTCAAATCAATGGTTGTGCACGGTTTATATGAATATTAGTGATTACAAAATATTATCAATAGACCTTGTCACAACTGTTATTGAAGAACTAATCATCTATTGCTTATTTAGGTCTTTCTCTCCTGCCAGAATGTGCGCTCCAGGTGGAGAGGTATGTTGCCTTATCCGTGGCTGGATATATAGAGATTCCCACACTGCCTTGCACACGAGCACTGCTGGGTAAATATTTGTTGGCTGCAGGAAAACGTGAAGGAATAGGCCCTCCAATGGGAGGAAAAGCATGAGTTGTGAGAGCAGAGCCACCACAGGAAACCAGGAGGCTAAGTGGGGTGGAAGGGAGTGAGCTCTCGGACTCCCAGGAGTAAAAGCTTCCAAGTTGGGCTCTCACTTCAGCCCCTCCCACACAGGGAAGCCAGATGGGTTCCCCAGGACCGGGATTCCCCAAGGGGGCTGCTCCCAGAGGGTGTGTTGCTGGGATTGCCCAGGACAGGGATGGCCCTCTCATCAGGTGGGGGTGAGTGGCAGCACCCACCTGCTGAAGATGTCTCCAGAGACCTTCTGCAGGTACTGCAGGGCATCCGCCATCTGCTGGACGGCCTCCTCTCGCCGCAGGTCTGGCTGGATGAAGGGCACGGCATAGGTCTGACCTGCCAGGGAGTGCTGCATCCTCACAGGAGTCATGGTGCCTGTGGGTCGGAGCCGGAGCGTCAGAGCCACCCACGACCACCGGCACGCCCCCACCACAGGGCAGCGTGGTGTTGAGACAACACAGCCCTCATCCCAACTATGCACATAGCTTCAGCCTGCACAGATAGGGGAGTAGGGGACAGAGCATTTGCTGAGAGGCCAGGAGCGCATAGATGGGACTCTGCTGATGCCTGCTGAGTGAATGAGGGAAAGGGCAGGGCCCGGGACTGGGGAATCTGTAGGGTCAATGGAGGAGTTCAGAGAAGGTGCAACATTTCTGACCCCCTACAAGGTGCTTGCTACCTGCCAGGCACCCTTTCCATACCTTGTCTCAGTTCAGCTCCCCACCTTGGATAAACAAGAAACCTTGGTTGCAGAGGAAAAAAGAGGCTGGAAACAAAGGGGTAGAAATGGGGTAGCAGGGGAGATTGCCTGATCAACTGCCAAATGGTACACAGTTCTGGAAAAGCACAAAAAATGTGCACACACGGGTTCTTCCCACTTTAACCCCTGAGGAATCTGAGGCCTGCTCCTGAAACAGACTGGGCAGTGGCTAGTGACTCTAGGTATAGGAGTATCCAGCCCTGCTCACCCAGGCTAGAGCTTAGGGGGACAAGAGGAAAGAGGTGCCTGTGGGGGTGGAGGACAGGAAGGAAAAACACTCCTGGAATTGCAAAGTGAGGGCAGAGTCTATTTATATTGGGTTTAATTAACTCCTCTCCCTGGTGCCACTAAAGCAGCAATCACACTGCAGACAGCACTGATTTGATTGGCAAGAGATGCACCAGGCAGAATATTAAGGGACCAGGCCCCTATAAATAGGCCTAATCACAGCCCCTCACTGGAAAATGGTAAGGAAGACATTAATCAGGCCTGGCACTGTGCCCTAGACCTGCTCCCCTAGGCACTACAGTGGGGCCCTTGGTTGCAACACAAGTAGGTAGGGATGGATGAGTGTGGCATGAAGGGCCTAGGAGATTTCACTTGGGTTTAAAATGCTGTGACCTTGAGTAAGTTGCCGTCTCTGAATCTGATCCTTTCGATTTCCCATTCTCCAAACTGAGAACTAGCACTGCTGAGACGTGGTTATTTCCAATAATAATTTGTATATTTTACATAACGCACCACACCAACATCTTCACCCAGTTGGAGCCTACTCCTTTGCTCCCGCTGCTGGCTTCCCCAGCCCTCCCTTCTGCCCTCCTCAGGCCAGCACTTTTCAGTGAGTTCCTCCTTTGCATACAGGCTTTCCAGATCTGTACTTGCCTTGAATACTCATCAGAGCCCAGGAGTTACTCCTCACCTCCCACTTATTTTTCCTCCCATCAAATAACTAAAGCATGGCCAGCTGATGCCCAGCCAACTGAGAAACCCAACCCTCTGAGACCAGCACACCCCTTTCAAGCATGTTCCTCCCTCCCCTTCTTTGTATTTATACTGATGCAAGTTTGCTGGCTGTCCTAACTTATTTCTGTGCCTCAGTTCTCCCATATGTAAGATCACAAAGGGGGTAAAGATGCAAGATATTTCCTGTGCACATCTTCAGATGAATTTCTTGTTAGTGTGTGTGTGTTTGCTCACACATATGCGTGAAAGAAGAGTACATACACAGATCTCCTCAAAAAGGAGGCAGCAAGCCCGTTCAAGAATGGGACTGAATACACCTGATGAGTGGTTTACTTTCTGTCTGCAAACATCTACTGATCATCTGTTAGGTGCAGGCCATGATCACAACAAAGACGAATAAGACACTACACTAGCCAGGGAGAGTCTCAAAAACAACTAAACTCAAATTAAATTCATTCTACTCCAGTCATGGGTACAAAGCTAAGGAGTGACAAATCCCTCTTGGAGTTAGGGGAGTCAGGAAAAAGCTCTTAGCAGAATGTGTGCCTCTCGGCCGGGCGCAGCGGCTCACGCCTGTAATCCCAGCACTTTGGGAGGCGAAGGCAGGCAGATCACCTGAGGTCGGGAGTTCGAGACCAGTCTGACCAACATGGTGAAACTCCATCTCTACTAAAAATACAAAATTAGCCAGGCGTGGTGGTGCATGCCTGTAATCCCCGCTACTCGGGAGGCTGAGGAAGGAGAATCACTTGAACCAGGAAGGTGGAGGTTGCAGTGTGCCAAGATCGCGCCATGGCACTCCAGCCTAGGCAACGAGGGTGAACCAGGTCCAGGAAGAAGGTGCAAAGACAGCATTCCAGGTAAAAGAAACAGCTTGAACAAAAAGTGTGTAGGGGAACCGCAAGCGGTCTTGAGTGCTGAGGGTACAATCATCCTTGGGGAAGTACTAGAAGAAAGAATGATAAACAGAGGCCAGTTTGTTAAAAACACTCAAAATTAAAGCTAGGAGTTTGGACTTGTGGCAGGAATGAAATCCTTAGACCTGTGCTGTCCAATATGGTAGCCACCAGGCACATGCAGCCACTGAGCACTTGAAATGTGGATAGTCTGAATTGAGATGTGCCATAAGTGTAAAATATGCACCAAATTTCAAAGGCTAGAAAAAAAGAATGTAAAATATCTTATTATTTTATATTGATTACGTGCTAAAATAACCATATTTGGGATATACTGGATTTTAAAAATATATCACTAATTTCATCTGTTTCTTTTTACTTTTAGAAATCACATATGTGACTTAAATATTTCTTTTCTTTTTCTTTCCTCTCACTCAGCGTCCTGTGATTCCAAAGAAATGAGTCTCTGCTGTTTTTGGGCAGCAGATATCCTAGAATGGACTCTGACCTAAGCATCAAAATTAATCATCATAACGTTATCATTTTATGGCCCCTTCTTCCTATATCTGGTAGCTTTTAAATGATGACCATGTAGATAATCTTTATTGTCCCTCTTTCAGCAGACGGTATTTTCTTATGCTACAGTATGACTGCTAATAATACCTACACATGTTAGAACCATTCTGACTCCTCAAGAATCTCATTTAACTCTTATTATCAGTGAATTTATCATCATCCCCTATTTTACATAAGGAAATGGGGTTAGAAAGACCAAATAACATTTTTTCAACATCAAAACACTAGCTTGAGATCAAGCCCAGACTTGGATCTGTCGTCTGAATTCCAAGCTTTTTGTTATTTATTGATATGTTTTGTTGTTTTCATGCAATAATGCAAATCTTAGCCCAAACATTTTGTTAGTAGTACCAACTGTAAGTCACCTTATCTTCATACTTTGTCTTTATGTAAACCTAAATTAGATCTGTTTTTGATACTGAGGGAAAAACAAGGGAATCTAACACTAACCAGCCCGTAGTGTGTGGTCAACACTTTCGTTACTTTAGTATACATCACCCCAATTGTTTGTCTTCACCACACACTTTGGAGTTAGGTAGTAGTATCTATTTTTACAAATAAGAAAACCCAGGCACAAAGGGGTTGATTAGCAATTATCTTTTGAAAAGCCTGTAGTTGCTCATCTGAAGAAGTGACGGACCACCTCTTATTTAGTGGACAGACAGTAACTAGTTGAGAAGACAGGGGATTTTGTTGGCGGAAAAAAAAATTTATCAAAAGTCGTCTTCTATCAGGGAGTTTTATGAGAAACCCTAGCTCCTCAGTTCCACAGTGGGTAACTGTAATTCATTCTAGGTCTGCGATATTTCCTGCCTATCCATTTTGTTAACTCTTCAATGCATTCCACAAATACCTAAGTATTCTTTAATAATGGTGGTTTTTTTTTTTTTTTGCATCTATGAAGTTTTTTCAAATTCTTTTTAAGTGACAAAACTTGTACATGTGTATCGCTCAATATTTCTAGTCGACAGCACTGCTTTCGAGAATGTAAACCGTGCACTCCCAGGAAAATGCAGACACAGCACGCCTCTTTGGGACCGCGGTTTATACTTTCGAAGTGCTCGGAGCCCTTCCTCCAGACCGTTCTCCCACACCCCGCTCCAGGGTCTCTCCCGGAGTTACAAGCCTCGCTGTAGGCCCCGGGAACCCAACGCGGTGTCAGAGAAGTGGGGTCCCCTACGAGGGACCAGGAGCTCCGGGCGGGCAGCAGCTGCGGAAGAGCCGCGCGAGGCTTCCCAGAACCCGGCAGGGGCGGGAAGACGCAGGAGTGGGGAGGCGGAACCGGGACCCCGCAGAGCCCGGGTCCCTGCGCCCCACAAGCCTTGGCTTCCCTGCTAGGGCCGGGCAAGGCCGGGTGCAGGGCGCGGCTCCAGGGAGGAAGCTCCGGGGCGAGCCCAAGACGCCTCCCGGGCGGTCGGGGCCCAGCGGCGGCGTTCGCAGTGGAGCCGGGCACCGGGCAGCGGCCGCGGAACACCAGCTTGGCGCAGGCTTCTCGGTCAGGAACGGTCCCGGGCCTCCCGCCCGCCTCCCTCCAGCCCCTCCGGGTCCCCTACTTCGCCCCGCCAGGCCCCCACGACCCTACTTCCCGCGGCCCCGGACGCCTCCTCACCTGCGAGCCGCCCTCCCGGAAGCTCCCGCCGCCGCTTCCGCTCTGCCGGAGCCGCTGGGTCCTAGCCCCGCCGCCCCCAGTCCGCCCGCGCCTCCGGGTCCTAACGCCGCCGCTCGCCCTCCACTGCGCCCTCCCCGAGCGCGGCTCCAGGACCCCGTCGACCCGGAGCGCTGTCCTGTCGGGCCGAGTCGCGGGCCTGGGCACGGAACTCACGCTCACTCCGAGCTCCCGACGTGCACACGGCTCCCATGCGTTGTCTTCCGAGCGTCAGGCCGCCCCTACCCGTGCTTTCTGCTCTGCAGACCCTCTTCCTAGACCTCCGTCCTTTGTCCCATCGCTGCCTTCCCCTCAAGCTCAGGGCCAAGCTGTCCGCCAACCTCGGCTCCTCCGGGCAGCCCTCGCCCGGGGTGCGCCCCGGGGCAGGACCCCCAGCCCACGCCCAGGGCCCGCCCCTGCCCTCCAGCCCTACGCCTTGACCCGCTTTCCTGCGTCTCTCAGCCTACCTGACCTTGTCTTTACCTCTGTGGGCAGCTCCCTTGTGATCTGCTTAGTTCCCACCCCCCTTTAAGAATTCAATAGAGAAGCCAGACGCAAAACTACAGATATCGTATGAGTCCAGTTTTGTGAAGTGCCTAGAATAGTCAAAATTCACAGAGACAGAAGCAGTGGTCGCCAGGAATGGGGAAGCAAGGCGGAGTTGGGCAGCTCGTGTTCAATGGGTAGAGTTTCAGGCTGGGGTGATGGAAGGGTGCTGGAAATGAGTGGTAGTGATGGCGGCACAACAGTGTGAATCTACTTAATCCCACTGAACTGTATGCTGAAAAATGGTTTAGACGGTGAATTTTAGGTTATGTATGTTTTACCACAATTTTTAAAAAGCTAGTGAAAAGCTGGTAAAAAGAAAGAAAAGAGGCTTTTTTAAAAAGTTAAATATATAAAAAGAGCATCATCAGTCCAAAGTCCAGCAGTTGTCCCTCCTGGAATCCGTTGGCTTGCCTCCGGCATTTTTGGCCCTTGCCTTTTAGGGTTGCCAGATTAAAAGACAGGATGCCCAGCTAGTTTGAATTTTAGATAAACAACGAATAATTTCGTAGCATAAATATGTCCCAAGCTTAGTTTGGGACATACTTATGCTAAAAAACATTATTGGTTGTTTATCTGAGATTCAGAATTAAGCATTTTATATTTTATTTGCTGCCTCTGGCCACCCTACTCTCTTCCTAACACTCTCTCCCTCTCCCAGTTTTGTCCGCCTTCCCTGCCTCCTCTTCTGGGGGAGTTAGATCGAGTTGTAACAAGAACATGCCACTGTCTCGCTGGCTGCAGCGTGTGGTCCCCTTACCAGAGGTAAAGAAGAGATGGATCTCCACTCATGTTGTAGACAGAATGTTTATGTCCTCTCCAAATGCTTATGTTGAAACCCTAACCCCTAATGTGATGGTATGTGGAGATGGGCCTTTGGTAGGTAATTACGGTTAGATGAGGTCATGGGGTGGGGCCCTCATTATAGATCTGGTAAGAAAAGAGAGCATTGTCTCTGTGTCTCCCTCTCTCTCTCTCTCTCTCTCTCTCATTTCTCTCTATCTCATTTCTCTCTCTCTCGCTATCTCATTTTTCTCTCTCTCTCTTTCTCTCCTCTGTCTTTTCCCACCAAGTGAGGATGCGAAGAGAAGGTGGCTGTCTGCAAACCAGGAAGAGAGCCCTCACCGGGAACCCGTCCAGCTGCCACCTTGAACTTGGACTTCCAAGCCTCCAGAACTGTGAGGGATAAATGTATGATTTTAAAGTCGCCCAGTGTGTGGTATTTTGTTTTGACTAATACAACCTGAAAACATTTTCCCCTCACTCCACCTGAGCAATATCTGAGTGGCTTAAGGTACTCAGGACACAACAAAGGAGAAATGTCCCATGCACAAGGTGCACCCATGCCTGGGTAAAGCAGCCTGGCACAGAGGGAAGCACACAGGCTCAGGGATCTGCTATTCATTCTTTGTGTGACCCTGGGCAAGCCATGAATGGAGCTTCAGTCACCCCATTTGTAATGGGATTTAATTGTGCTTGCCCTGCCTCCTTTTGAGGGCTGTAGAGAAAAGATGTCAAAGTATTTTGTAATCTGGCTGGGCGTGGTGGCTCATGCCTGTAATCCTAGCACTTTGGTAGGCTGACGCGAGAGGACTGCTTGAGCCCAAGAGTTTGAGATCAGCCTGGGCAATATTGTGAGATTCCATCTCTACAAAAATAAAATAAAATAGCCAGTCATGGTGTCACACACCTGTAGTCCCAGCTACATGGGAGGCTGAGGCGGGAGGATCACTTGAGCTTGGGAGATCGAGGCTGCAGTGAGCTATGATTGTACCACTGCACTCCAGGCTGGGCGACAGAGAGAGACCCTGTCTCAGAAAAAAAAAAAAAAGTACTTTGTAATCTGTAAGGTTTATTTCAACACACACAAAAAAAGTGTATATGCTCCACGATGCCTGTGAATATACACACACACCACATCATATACCAAGCCTGGCTGTGTCTTCTCACAAATGCACTGCTAGGCACCACCCCCAGTTCTAGAATCACACCAGCCAGTTCACCCTCCAGATGGTTCACCCTCAACTTCATAAAAGTTCCCTACCTAATCTACTGACAGGCTCATCCCCGACCTAATTTTAAAGATTTCCTAGGAGCTGCAGTGGGAATCCTGGACCTCAGCCTGGACAAAGAACAGCTGCAGGTCATTCTCATGTGTGGACACAGAAGCTCTGCCTGCCTTTGCTGGCCAGCTGGGCTGAGCGGGCCTGGGAATTAAGGCTGCAGGGTTGGTCCCAGGCAGTCTTGCTGAAGCTTGCCACATCCCCCAGCCTCCTGGATTTGCCAGGATCCAAGAGCATGGACTTTAGGAATTCCTGGTGGAGGAGTGAAGAAAATGTGACAGGGTGTCCTAAGCCCCGATCTACAGGAAGAAAACTGGAAATAAGACTGAGGACTTAGTTTAAGATGTTCCTACTCAGCCTCTAGCTTTTGTGCTACAGTTCTGGGAACAGACTCCTCTCTCCTGAAAACCACTTCCCTCCGCAGCATTAGATTTCACCAAGATGTCTTGCTTGTGGGAAAGACTTCCAAGGATGCCTGGAGAGAGGAGGATGGAAATGTCCTGCTCTCTAAACAGATAGACAGATGCAGCCAGACAGAAAATAGTTTATCTTGCTGAGGTTTCTAATGTATTTGAAAGAGGCCTGGGTCTAGAAGTCTACCCAGAGGGCTCTGTGTTGTGCACGCAAAGATAAGAACCTTCCCTGTGGGAGTTCCAGAGCCAGTTTTCATAAACACCCATCGGTGACTGTGTTCAGAGTGAGTTCACACCATCCTGACCTGCCCTGAGTTAGACCTTACATGGTCTTCCTCCTCTAGGAAGCCTCTGCAGCCCAGGAACCTCCCCTTATCGGAAATGAACAGCATTTGAAGCTTCACCAGACAGACCAGACAGCTTAGCCCTCGTGTTGTGCCATGTGGGTTGTTCTCTGAGAGGCAGGAGAGCATAGTGGTTACTAGGAAGGGAAGGACTTTGGGACTAGACTGCCTCGGCTGGAGTCCTCTTTCTGCTTCATAGCCACGTGATCCTAGGCATGTTACCTGTGCCTCAGTTTTCACTCTGTCAATATGTAATAACTGAATCTGTCTTTGTGGTGAGGATTCAGTGAGTTAACATATTTGAAGTGCTTAAAAATGAGGCTTGTGTCCATAGATTAATGAGTGAATACACAAATGGTGATATGGACATACAGTGGAGTATTAGTCATAAAAAGGAAGGCAGAGCTGATCCATGGCACCATGTGACAGAACCTCAAAAGCATTAGGTTAAGTGGAAGAAGCCAGACACAGGTCACCTATTGTGTAATTCCATTTATAGGAAATATACAGAATATGTAAATCCGTGGAGAAAGAAAGCCGATTTCCAGGGGCTAAGGGGAGGGGAGAATGGGAAGTGGCTGCTTCATGGGTACAAGGTTTCATTTTGAGCTGATGAAAATGTTTTGGAACTACATAGAGATAGTGTTGGCACAACATGGTGAATGTACTGAATGCCACTGATTGTTCAATTTAAAATGGTCAAACTTATATGAATTTCACCTCCATTAAAAAAAAAAAAAAAGGACCAGATGTGGTTGCTCACACCCATAATCCCAACACTTTGGAAAAAGGTGAAAGTTTTTTTTTCTTTTTTTTTTTATATACTTAAGTTCTAGGGTACATGTGCATAATGTGCAGGTTGGATACATAGATATGCGTGTGCCATGTTGGTTTGCTGCACCCATCAACTTGTCATTTACATTAGGTATTTCTTCTAATGCTATCCCTCCCCCAGCCCCCCACCCACTGACAGGCCCCAGTGTATGATGTTCTCTGCCCCATGTCCAAGCGTTCTCATTGTTCAATTCCCACCTGTGAGTGAGAACATGCAGTGTTTGGTTTTCTGTCTTTGTGATAGTTTGCTCAGAATGATGGTTTCCAGCTTCATCCATGTCCCTGCAAAGGACATGAACTCATCCTTTTTAATGGCTGCATAGTATCCCATGGTATATATGTGCCACATTCTCTTAATCCAGTCTGTCATTGATGGACATTTGGGTTGGTTCAAAGTCTTTGCTATTGTGAATACTGCCACAATAAACATACATGTGCATGTGTCTTTATAGTAGCACGATTTATAATCCTTTGGGTATATACCCTAAGACCTGGGACGCATTTAAAGCAGTGTGTAAAGAGACATTTATAGCACTAAATGCCCACAAGAGACCTCTGCCTGAGAACGTGGGTTTCAGCCTAAGAGTTGTAATATGTGTGCCCATTCACAGGTGCTGCATCAGAGTCCCAGGTGGGAAGAAGGCAAGCATACACAAAAATGGTAAAAGGCAGAAAGGAGCCCAGTCTCGTTCTTTTTAAGAAGTTTTCCTAAGAATCTCCACCCAGCGACTTGCTCTCACATCTTCTTGGCCAGCACTGGACCACACAACTCCTTCTAGATACAGAGGAGTCCTAGGATTCTATGAGAAAGAAGGGGAGGGTGGGCAAAGGGCAGCCAGCTGTGCAGCATCTGCTGGAGACACCTAACCCTTGGTGGAGGGGTTGTGGTGCTGGGAGAAGGCTTTCTGGACGGTGTGACAGCAGAGATAAACTTAAAGGCCAAGTAGGAGTTACCCTGGTGAAGCAGGGCAGGGTTACAAGCATTCCAGCAACATGAAGCAGCAGGAGTGTTTTAATTAAAAGAAGGCAGTTGCTGTAACCAACTATAAACAAATAAAGGCTTAAACACAATGGAAGTTTATTTCTCACTAAGGGAACATCCAAATCCATGATACTTTAAGTCAGGGACCCAGGTTCCTCCCATCTATGGTTCTGCCATCACTAATCTGGGTCTTCCACAATTGCCGTGCTCCTTGGAGGTGGGAAGAGCAGGCGGAGGACACGTGGGAGGTTTTAGGGACAAGCCTGGAGGCAGCATGCGTCACTCCCATGCAGAGTCCATTGGCCAATGCTGGCTCCGATGGCCACATCTCACTGCAGGGGCAGCTGGGAAATACAGTCTGGCTGTCTACCCAGGAGGAAGAGCAGCCAGTTTCTGCTGCTGATGATCAGGAGGTGGAGAAAATGTTCAGTCAGGCAGGGAGTGGGAATAGACAAGACCACAAGCAGCTTGGTGCCTCTGAAAGGGAGAGGGGTGGAGGGGAGACTAGAGAGGTGGGTAGGAATACTGGATTCCACTGACCACGTGCTGGATGTCACGCTTAGCCCTCCTGCTCTGTGCCGGGTTAGGCACCTGGTGTTTTACGTACATAATCTCAATTCTGTGAGGGCATCCGACCTGTGGGAAAAGAGCTGTTTGTTTCAAATGCCAGTCCTGCTTCCTAACAAGTGTTTAGAGCTTAATCGTGTTCAAAATACATATACAATGTTTAATACTTACAAGAATTTGGTGGGGAAAATATTACCATCTTTCCCTTTTGTGATTGGAGAAAAATGAGGCTTTGAAGGGTTTAAGAACTTGCCCAAGGTCGGCCAGGTGCAGTGGCTCATGTCTATAATCCCAACACTTTGGGAGGCTGAGGTGGGAGGATCGCTTGAGGCCAGGAGTTCAAGACCAGCCTGAGCAACATAGTGAGACTTTGTCTCTATAAAAAATAAATAAATAAATAAAAACAACTTGTCCAAGGTCAGACAGGCAGCCTCTTAGTAAGCACACATATCCTCTATATTATACTACCTCTCATGGAGGATCTCCTGTGTTCTACAAATAGTCTGGACTTGAGCCAGAATGTGTTATAATCCTGGGATCACGGCCAGTGGGCTTAGAAGAAGCCATCTCTTTCTCATGCCAAGATGAGGCTCCCCCAGATTTGCTCAGACTTACCTATAGTCAGCAGCATCGGGGGTCAGGAAAGACTTCACGAAGCCATAAATGCATCCTTCTCGGGGCAGCACCTGGCTCTCCCAGGTGAGAGAGGACTCCATTTTCACAGGCAGGCGTGGGAGCTTCAGCACCCATCTCTGGGCCCAGAATGACCCACTGGAGACCTTACAGCTCTCCTGTCACCCCCAATTCCTGCCCCCTCTGCAGCCTTGGAGGAGAATGGAGCTGAAGGGCCTGCCCTCTGTAGGGTGAGAAAGGGAGGCTAAAGCCTGGTGCCCACTGCCCTGGCTGCTCCGCATTGCAGGAGCTGCGCCCTTCCTTTCCTGGCACAGGGTCCACAGCCCCGAAACCCCGTTGTGTGGGAGCTGGGCACAGGGCAGCAGGACTAATCCTTGGAACAGCTCAGGGAGGATTATCCCAGCCACTGTCAGCAGCGGTGCAGCTGGCTCATTCCCATATAGGGGGAGGCCAGAGCCAGGGGCCTGCCACAAGTTGGAAGGCTGGGGAAGGGGAGGCCAGCAGAGGTGTCCTGGCTGTGGGTGGCTCTGAGGGGGCTCTCAGGGGTGGGGCTAAATCTCAGGGGCAGGATTATGTAAATCAAACCAATTCTAGCCACAGATTTAAAGTTTGGAAAAAAAAAAAAACCCAGCCTGGCGGAAAGAATTTAAATTATAAAAACTTAGAAGTATGGAATGTGAAATCATCCTGTAGGTGCTTATTTAACAACGAAATCATCCCGACACAATGAGCCATATGTGAAAAGTCATCCTTCCCCAACACATCCCCCAACAGGCACTCCTCAAGCCTCTCCCACCCAAGTGCTGGCATCCTCCCTGTCCTGCTTCACCTGAGACACCCCTTGTCTCATTAGACATGCAACTACGGGAGGGGTGACAGGAAGACAAGACACTATTTCCTCAGGCCCAGTTTGGTGTGGGGAGAAAGCCTCCTGATCCTGAAAGCAAGAATTTGACCAGAGCAGAAGTAATCAGTATGCAGATTGATTCTGTGGTATGTTAATGTTTATGCATAGATTATGAGGACCAGGTGAAAAGTGGGCCAGGGGAGCCAGATGTGTGTGTGAGTCATGGGTGGCTGAGATGAGGACAGGAGGGAAACTGGTTTGGAGGGTGCTGGCGATGGGGTGGGGGTGCCAGGAGGAAGGGAGGCTAGTTGTTTGAATGTCTGCATGAAAAAGCGGACGACAGCGGGGTCTGGGTGAATTCGGGCAACCATTTGGACCGTGGAGAAAACTGCCTGCGTGCGGCTGAGGACCTGCACTATTAATTTGTTTTTTAGCTAAGGCAAAGATAAATATAAAAACTGATACTCCACCCAGTTACCAGAAAACATTTAGGTATGTGTGAGACAACTTGGGTATGTGAACCTACCTTTTCAATGTAAATTCAGTGAAATCTAAGTGCAGATCCCATATTTCCAATAAAAAGGTAACATCCAAACTCAGATGTCCTATGAGTATAAAATACACAAAGATCTTCTGGACTTAGTATGAAAAGGGATTTTTTTTTTGTCAGGTACCTCACTAGTTATTTTTAAAATAGGATTGCATGTTGAAATGATAATCTTTTGGATATATTGGGTTAAATAAATTTATTATTAAAGTTAATTTCACTTAAAAATGTTTAATGTAGCTACTAGAAATTTTAAAATTAAGCATGTTGCTCACCTTATGTTTCTATTGGACGGCTCTCTCTAGATACAAAGGCTGCCAAGAGGGACCTCACTCTAGCTTCAGGGAGAAGAGAGGAATTAGCAAGGCCAAGCAGAGGCTCCTGAGGGCAGGGCCAAGGGCGGCTTGGTGGGGTGGGGATGGGATGCACAGAGATAACTCCAACCCTTAAGAAGGTGTTTCCTAGAGCAGGCTGTGACCTGTCAGTTTATATACTGAGGCTTAGGAGCCTCTTGGATGCCCCCAGATCTGCACCCCTGAATTGCCCTGTGCCCCTGCCGTCTTTGTTCCTGTGCTGGCATAGTGGTCTCACCTCCGGCAGTATCACCACCACTGGGCACAAGCTTCTCCAGCACAGCAACTGTGTCTTATTTCTCCTTGTACTCCCAGTGTTCACACCATGCTGCACTCACAGAAGACTCTTCGTTGATATTTTGTGGACAGAGAGAATGCCTGTGAGAGTGGGCTGAAGTGTGCGTTGGGCTCCAGAGACCTTAAGGAGGGGAGACCAGGTCCTGAGTAAAGTTGAAGGGGAGGGGCTGAGTCCTGCTAGCCAGGAGTCTCATCCCCTGGGGAAGTTCCAGGGACCCCTCAGAAGTGCAAGGGGACGGTGTTAGTGTTAGTCCAGTAACACAGCCCAGAGCCTGCCTTCCACGTGGGTTTGACAGGAGCCTCCTAACTGCTCTTCTGCTTCCATTTTTGCCCCTTCAGTCTATTCTCAACAGGGAAGCCAGAGGCATCCTTAACCATGTCAGATCATGTGGCTCCTCAGCTCAAAGCCTCATCTCAGAGGAAAGCTCTGGTCCCTTAGAAATGGCCCAAGTGGTGACAGACAGACTCTAAGGTGAGCAGACTGTTGCTAGATATCTGGGCTCGGAGGACTCGCCACTGCTCAAAGGCAGTGAGGATTTTCGCACTAGAAGCTGGAGGACAGGGATCCTTGTTAGGTAGGAGCAGAAAGCTTAGAAAAGTGGTCTCCTGCAGTTACGTGGCAAACACATCATGTAAGTGATAAATTGGGTATGCAGTTGAGGAGATTTCCAAGTAAAATGTTGAGGATGCTGCCTGGTTTCTTCTTACTGCTTATAATATAGTGTGAGAGAAGAGAGATAAATTGAGAAAGAGACTGGTTTTTAAACTGTTAAAATTGAATCAGGACTTGATGATTTTGAAAATTGTCAGTCTCCCCACATGGAAAAAGATGCTGAAATTAACAAATGGCTTCTGAGCATGTGGCATAGGGTGTAACTGTACAGTCTTTTGTGATTATGCATAAAGATCAAAGGATGGGAGTAGCAATGAGTCACACAGAGGTCTGTTGCAAGAGATTACAAGGGTGTACCATGCAGAACCTCTCCACCAAACCTTAGGGCCCTTGGGAAGCTTCAGTGAGTTACCCTGGGGGCCATCTTGGCAGGAGCTGAAGGTAGAAAGGTAGAGTTTATCTCTAAAAGATTCATGGGTATGGCTCTTGACAAATCGACTATGAGCCCCACCGAAACCCACAGAGGACAGGCAAAGGGTTTGGGAAAGCTGTTTCACCCACAGTGCTGGCAGATTGGTCTGTAGGGGACAGAGTGCAAAATGAAAGAAGACTGTCAGAGACCCCAAACTCTGCTGTCAAGAAGAAGGCTGATAAAACTACTTGGCTGCAAACACGTGGATCTTTCGTGAGAAAAGAAGGATGACCCAGAGGCAGAAGCCCAGAAGGCAGAGCCAAGAGACATGGAATCTTCCCACATCTTAAAACCTGTTTAGGGAACACCAGCATCTGTCCAGCTGGATTTCAGAACCACCATTCCTTCATCCTTCCCCTGCTGCCTCTTTCTGAACAGCAATGTCTCAAGCTTTACCCACCATTGTGTGTTGCATATGTAGGGGGCAGATAGCTTGTATCTTTAGTTTTCCAGATCAGAGGAACATCCAAAGAAATCTGTTCTACACCTAAACCCGATTTAGATGAGATTCGGGACTGTGAGCATGAAGGGATCTCAAGAGGGGTGAATGTGTTTTGCATGCACAAGGGACAGGAGTCTTGGGGACAGAGGACAGGCTGTGGTGGCAGATACTAAGGTGACCCCCACAACCCCCACCTCTGCCATTCACACCCTTGAATAATCCCCTTCTCTGGTTGTAAGCAGAACCTGTGGCTTGCTTATGAAGGAGGCGGTATATATGTGATTCATGTACTGATCATATTGTATAAGATCACTGGCTGGATGCAGTGGCTCGTGCCTGTAATCCCAACACTTTGGGAGGCTGAGGCGGGTGGATCACCTGAGGTCAGGAGTTCGAGACCAGGCTGGCCAACATGGCAAAACCCCGCCTCTACTAAAAATACAAAAATTAGCCAGGCATAGTGGTGCACGCCTGTAATCACAGCTACTCAAGAGGCTGAAGCAGGAGAATTGCTTGAACTCAGGAGGTGGAGGTGGCAGTGAGCCAAGATCGTGCCACTGCACTCCAGCCTCAGTGACAGAGCGAGACTCTGTCTCAAAAAATAAATAAATAAAATGTTAAGATCATAACCTGTCTTTCTGGGGACTCTCTCTTGACGCCTTTGAAGAAGCAGGCTGCCATGTTGCAAGCTGCCTCATGGAGGGGATCAGCTGCGAGGAGCTAAGAGCCCCCTCCAGTCGATGCTCACCAGGAAGCTGAGGTCTTGTGTCCAGCACCCTGCATAGAACTGAATGCTGCCATGTGAGCTTGGAAGCAGAGCCATCCACACAGCTGAGCCCTAGATGAGAACCCAGTGCTGGCTGACACCCTGATGGCACCTTACAGAGGACCAGTTAGGCTGTGCCAACTCCTGACCTGCAGAAGCTGGGGAACACTGGGTCGTATTTGCAGCTGCTGGATTTGTGGGAATTTGTCACACAGCAATTGGGAGTCACACAGCCTGTGACGCCCCAACAATCCACACCTCCTGCATCTCCCTGCCTTCACTTCCTAGCACACTGCCCTGACTCCCTCTGCCGCAGCCACGCTGGCCCTCTGCTGTTCTTCGAAGCCACCAGGGCTGCATTGGCTCCCAGCCTTTGCTCTCACTGCTTTCTCCTCCTAGAGAGCCCTTCCTGCATGTATATGTTTGACTCACTCCCTTGCCTCCTTCAGACTTGTACTTAAAAATCTCAGTAAGCATTTCCCTGGCTACCCTTTTAAAAATTGCAACCCACTTCCATCCCCATCCCCAACATGCCATATTTCCTTTCTTCTTCTTCCTTCTTCCTTTTTTTTTTTTTTTTTTTGACACAGGTTCTCTGTCACCCAGCCTGGAGTGCAGTGACATGATCTCGGCTCACTGCAACCTCTGCCTCCCCAGGCAAGAAAAGGGGAGGATGCCAATAAAGGATGCATTGATTTGTATTTACTACAGTGGACATCAAGGGCACATTCTTGCTGTGGCCATCAAGAGACTGTATAAATTCTATGACTTGTAGTTGTCCCACTTAAGAAACAAAGAAGCTGTGCATTTCTTTACTGGTCTAGAGCTGCTCTAGGGCATTTTCTCTACAGCAATTCTAGGTTTCCCCACCTTGTGAGTTTAGCTTTTTCTATATTCAAAGAAAAGTCCTCAGCCAGAGATTCTCAGGAGCTTATAGAACAATCCAAACTCTTGGGAATATTAAGTGGAGAGGGGTACGTGCAAGACACCAACAGCACTAGAAACAGTCCACATCTTTCCATGCGTGGAGGAGTTTATGCTCTATGTGAGTTCACTCCATCATTAATTCTTCAAACACAAGAGTGTTAAAGGAACAAGAGTTAATGGGTCCTGTCATTACACTTGTTCCCAGGATGACATTCTTCATCTTCCTCTTCTACAACCTGTTCTATATTCCCCTCATGTTTATCCAGTGCTTCTGCTAGTCTAGTTCACTTCCAAAGACCCATGATTACCATGGCCCTGTCAGGCTGTAATTGCTGCAATTTCCAATTTACAATTGTCATCATCTATGGTTGATAAAGGTATAGCAATATTTCTATTTCCTCATGATAATGAAGGTCAATTACAACTGCCAGTATAATAACTTATTTCTTTGTCTGCCAACCTACATACACAAGGAAGCCAAAATGACAGGGAGCTACTAAAACTTTATTCTTATTGGAATGCTTACTATGTACCCAGAAGAAGCATTCTCCCTACTCCAGCAGAGCTTAATGCTGTAGGTCCAGGAAGCTCAAATTCTCCAAGGGAGTTTTAGTGAGAGGAGCCACTCTCACCCTCTGCCCTTGGTTTACAAACCTGTATATTCTAGGACCCAATATCTTACAATGTCCATTGGTTCAAAGTATAACATGTTAAAGCACAGAGCCCCAACTCTGAAAAGTACCATCCCTAAATTGGCATTTAGTTGCACCTTTATATCCACCTTTAAAAGAAATATCTTTTAATGTTCTATCAGACTGATAGATTCTGTTTAATATAGTATATTATAGCACCAGTGGATCATTTGGTTGTATGCATATTATTGTACCTTCTCTGCTACAAAATATATTCCTTTGTCCTAAGGTGTGTTACAAAGAACATTAGGCATTCTATGCATCTTTGGATAGTTTAATGGCCAAGACATTGATGGCAGGAGAGTCAAAGCCACAGGTGGAAAACACATTTATCCCAGTAAGAACAAATTGCTATTCTTCCACTGTAGAGAGGGTAAACAATGTGCCATTACGTTGCCAATTGAATGCCTCAATCATGTCAAGGGCTGAACATCTATGACTGTTTCTGAAAGGTCAAACATTCAACAGAGGCTGTAGCTAGAACTGCCTTAATGATAAGAGATCATGCTGAATTACCCATGCAAAACCTTAATACTTGACACTTATCACTACTTTATTCAAGAGCCTATTGTGCAAGCATAAGTGGCTGAGTCAGGTTCTCAACTCTGCTCATTAATACTATGCTTGGAGTATACAGTAAGATAAGAAACATAAATAAGAAGTGTACATTTGTTTCTTCCTGTTTTCTTCTGGCTATTGGATCAATTACATCCCATCTTAAGCTGACCCCTGTGTAATTAATCAATATCCGTTTTAAGCAGCAATCCATAGTTGTGCAGAAATTAGAAAACTGACCCACACAGAAAAACTAATTGTGAGAACCAATATTATACTAAATTCATTTGACAATTCTCAGCAAAGTGCTGGGTTGATCTCTATTTACGCTTTTCTTAAACACACAAAATACAAAAGTTAACCCATATGGAATGCAATGGAGGAAATCAATGACATATCAGATCTAGAAACTAATCAATTAGCAATCAGGAAGGAGTTGTGGTAGGAAGTCTGTGCTGTTGAATGTACACTAATCAATGATTCCTTAAATTATTCACAATAAAAAAAAAGATTAGAATAGTTTTTTTAAAAAAAAAGCCCAGAAACTAATCTAAGTTTTGTCTGGTAATAAAGGTATATTTTCAAAAGAGAGGTAAATAGATCCACATACTGTGGAGGGAATAAAATACTTTTTGAAAAACAAACAACAAGTTGGATTTTTAGACACATAGAAATTGAATATGTACATTTATAAATATTTTTGGATTGAACTATTTCAAAATTATACCATAAAATAACTTGTAAAAATGTAGGCAAAATGTATATAATTATGGCATGAGGTATGCAACTTTAGGCAAGGAAGCAAAAGCAGAAACCATGAAAAAAGTCTAAATTTTACCATATTGAATTTAAATTTTCAAAAACAAAAATAAAGACAAAGTGGGAAAAATATGTATGCTTCATGTGTGACAAGCCACTGATACCTATTAAATATGAAGAATATTATAAATCATATCAATAACCACAACATTCAAGCTGTCAGTTTGAATAGACAATGTAAATGACAAAACTACATACTCAACAAGATAACAGCAAACCAGCTTCGACAGCACGTTAAAGGGGTCATACAACATAATCGAGTAGAATTTATCTCTGAGATGCAAGAATGGTTCAAAATATGGAAACCAATAAATGTGATATGCCACACTAACAGAATAAAAAATAAAAATCATATTATCATCTCAATAGATGCAGAAAAAGCATTAACAAAAGTAAACATTCTTTCATAATAAGACATCAGATAAAACAAATTAGGAATAGAAGGAATGTACCGCAACACAATAAAGGCCATATATAACAAGCCCACAGCTAACATCATAATAGTAAAATCATCACACTGGTAAAAAAAATGAAAGCTTTTCCTCTAAGGTCAGAAATAATATAAAGGTTCCCACTCTTGCTATTTCTATTCCATATCGTACTAAAAGTCCTAGCCAGGACAATTAGACAAAATAAAAATAAAAACACCCAAATTGGAAAGATAGAAGCAAACTTTTCTGTTTACAGATAACATAATCTTATATGTAGAAACCCCTTAAAACTTCAGCAAAAAAAAAAAAAAAACTACAGAGCTAGTAAATTCAGTGAAGTTGCAGAATACAAAATCAACATACAAAAATCAGTAGTGTCTCTATACACTAATAAGGACTTAACAGAGAAAGAAGTTAAGAAAACAATACCACTAACAATAGAATCCAAAAAATAAAATACTTAGGAATAAATTTTACCAAACATCTGTACACTAAAAACTATAAAACATTGAAAAAAGAAGTTGAATAAGACACATATAAATAGAAAGCTATCTCATGTTAATAGATTAGAAAAAGTAATATTGTTAAGATGTCCTCACTACTTAAAGCAATTTATAGATCTAATGCATTTATTGCAATCTCTTCAAAATCCCAAAGGTATTTTTGACAGAAATAAAAAAAAAATTCTAAAATATGCATGAAACCACAAAAGACTGTGAATAGCTAAAGCAATCTTGAGCAAGATGAACAACACTGGAAGCATCACACTACCTTATTTCAAAATCTACTACAAAGCTATAGTGATCAAAGCAACATGATACTGTCATAAAAACACACAGATAAACCTATGGAATGGAATAAAGAGCACAGAAATAAGTCCACACATTTACATTCAATTGATTTTCAACAACAATGTCAAGAAGACAATGGGGAAAAGACAATCTCTTCAATAAATGATGCTGGAAAAACTATATATCCACATGCAGAAGAATGCAGTTGAATCCTGATTTCATACCATATGCAAAATTCAACTGGAAATGGATTAAATACAAATTTAAAACATGAAATGGTATAACTATTAGAACAAAACATAGAAAATATTCTTCCTGACATTGGTTTGGGCCATCATTTTTCTGATATGACTCTAAAAGCACAGGCAAAAAAAGAAAAAATAGACAAATGAGACTATGCCAAATTAAAAAATTTCTAACAACAAAAGAAACGATCAATAGAGTGAAAAAGATAACCTCTTGAATGGGAGAAATATTTGCAAACTACTCATCCAACCGGGGATTGATATCCAGAATATACAAGTAACACAAATATGTCAAAAGTAAAATAAATAAATAAATAAATAAATAAATAAATTAAATAAATTATTTAAAAATCGGCAGAGGACAGGAATAGACATTTCTCAGGAGACAACATACAAAGGGCCACAGATACATCAAAAAATGCTCAACATCACTATTTGTCAGGGAAGTACTAATTAAAACCAAAATGAGATGTCCCCTCAAACCTGTTAGAATGGCTATTATCAAAAAGATGAAAGATAGCAACTATCAGAGAGGATGATAGAAAAGGGAACCCTTGCATCATGTACAAATTAAAAATAGAACTATCACATGATCCAAGAATCCTACTTCTGGGTATATAGCCAAAGGAATTGAAATCAATATGTCAAAGGGATATCTGCACTCCTATGTTATTGCAGCATGTTCACAATGGCCAAGATATAGAATCAACCTAACTGTTCATAGACAGATGAATGGATAAATGAAATGTGATATGGAAAATTATTCAGCCTTAAAAACAGTAGGAAATTCTGTCATTTGAGACAACGTGGATGAACCTAGAGGACATTAAGCTAAGTGAAATAAGCTAGACACAGAAAGACAAATATTGCATGATCTCACTTAGAATCTAAAAAATCTGAACTCATAGAAGCAGAGAATAGTATGATGGTTACTAGGGTTATCTGGCAGGGAGAGGATGAGGAAATGGGACATTGTTAATAAAAGGAAAAAAATTCAATTAGTAGGATTACATTCAGGGGACCCAATATACGACATGTTGACTGTAATTAATAATGTATTGTATGCTTGAAAATTGCTAATACAGTATATTGTAAATGTTAATATGAGGTAATATATGTGTTAATTAACTTGATTTATTCATTCAACAACATACACATATATTAAAACATCACACTGTATTCCACAAATATATATAATTTTTGTCAATTAAAAAATAATTTTTAAAAATGAGAAACAAAAAAGCTGACATTTTCAGATTAAAAAAATTATACAGAAGAATTAATTCATTAAAGTAAAAACAAATGTGGGAAAATGGTTTTTAAATATAATTTAAACCAAATTTAAAATAAGCATATAAAGACTATGGACAAAACAAGAAATCCAAATAAAAAATAAACATATGAAGAATATTCAAACTCACTTTTTATCAAAGAAATGTAAATTTTAAAATATAGCATTGCTATTGTGTTTTCATAAATAATAATATATCATGGATGAGCCTGTGAGGAAACAGACACTCATACTCTGCAAAGCAATGACTAAGATAATTATGTCAGATCATGAATTACGTTAATTAGCTTGATGGTGGTCACTGTTTCACGATAAATATACATATGTATCAAAACATCACATTACACACCATAAAGATATATAACTTGTTATCAAAAAGAAATATAGCAGTTAAAATTTAAAATTTTTAAAAAACGTCTTTTTGAGGTTCGTACCTCACTTAAGTCACACTGTTCAAAATATTCATGCACTCATTTCTCTCATTCATGTGTTAATGTACAGGGTACGGGCCACTATAAATTCCTTCAGCAACTGGAAAGGAAACTTTATGTACTGAGTGCTCAGAGTTGTATTAACTTTTTTTTTTTTTTGAGCAGCAGCAAGATTTATTGTGAAGAGTGAAAGAACAAAGCTTCCACAGTGTGGAAGGGGACCCGAGCGGTTTGCCCAGTTGTATTAACTTCTAATTCAACACTTTAAGATTCTTAGCATTATTGCAGACAACATCAGCTTCACAAGTGTGTGTCCTGTGCAGTTGAACAAGATCCCACACTTAAAAGGATCCTACACTTTTTTTAATGCTCTGCTGTTTCTGCCTTGAAATTCTTAACAATTTTTTTAACCAAAGTCCTCACAAATTCAGTTTACATTAGCCCTGCAATCATGTAGACATCCTGATTCCAGACAATGTGTCTGGAGGCAGGGTTTACAGGACTTCAAGAACCTTACCTTCTCAACTTTCATCTGCATCTTTACTCCCAACTATATATGAAGATGATGAAGATAGATATGGATGGTGCTTCTACCATACCCTCTTCCTCTGCCAAACTTCCTTGATCTAGGATAAGGTCAGTAAACTTCTTCCGTAAAAGGCCAAAAGTAAATATTATAGGCTCTACAGGCCCTAGAGTGTCTGTCATAACTACTCAACTCTTATTGTAGCATAAAAACTGTCAACAGACAATACAGAAACAAATGAGTGTGACTGGGTTCCAGTGAAACTTTATTTACAAAAGATTTGTCCCATGAGTCAAATTTACCACCTCCAGATCTAGAGAAACAGTTTTGAGCCCTTTTATTTTGCTCAACAGTTAAGCATGGCTCCATGTCCCTTATATTTAGTCAGAACTCGGTATGTTTTAAGGAAAGAATGGTTACACGAAGACATACATTCATTCATTTATACAACACATTTTCAGTGTTGAATGATAAATTTTGGAATAGTTAACAGATGATAAAAGTGTTGTTTTCAGTCATCCCTATCCAATGAAGTAAAAAAAAAAGTGTTGAATGGGAAGAAATCAAGAATAGTTATACGAATATCACCATTGCATTAAAGCTCTCTTCCTTGTTTCTAAAAGAATATCTTGACACACATTAAGCTCACTGACCCCCACACCATGAATGAGGGCATCTTCAACAATGGTGGATGACGTCTTAGTTTCCCTCAACTCAGTTAATCTAAGTAAGCTCATGGTATCACTTTCCTGTCCTAGAGGGAACATATTTCCTGCATTTTTCTTTTTTTCCTTACTTTCCATCACCAAGTAACTCTTCTGATATTTTTTCTCTTGAGAAAATTAATATGACTCATAGATCTGGTTCCCAAGAGAAATCAATGGAGGCCTGGTTACAAGGATCTAAGAAGCATCAATGGGTCACTAACATCTAGTGGTACTAATTAACTCTGTTAATCATTGGGAAGAAAATGTATATATACTTTTGTCTTGGAGCTGATTCTACTAGAAAGCAGAAATCAAAATGATCAGTTTCCCAGTGTCACTACTGCACACCCTGGAACAGAACAGGTAGGTCAGAAAAACGCTCCCAAAGTTTAGCAATGTCAAGGCAATCTCTCTCTTCTTACATTTCCCTTCAACCTTCTATCTCCTCCACTTTTCTGTTTTCCTCCTATCTCCAATTATTTCAATCCTCAGAGCATTATTCTTACAATCTTAATCACTAAATTATATTACACCCGTTAAAGGAGAGATTTCTAAATGCATTGACATTTGTACTGTCTCTCTTTGGAGAATTAGTATTATAAGGATCTGTTATCTCTTGTCACCTTCCTTATGTCATATGATATGTCACATTTCCCACTGCGGAGACCAAACATGTTCACATCGTGTGCGTTCCATTTTCCTAATGGAAAGTGGGGGGAAGTGATTTTCTGTCCTCATATAGAGAATGCTGGGGCCATTCCCTCTGTATGCCATATTTGATAAAGCATTTGATAATCTTAGTCAATGCCTGGGCCAAGAATTAAAGGGGTAATTATCAGAATGAAAATGGTTTAATGAAACTGTGTCTATCAGTTCTGAAAAGGGCCTCTATCACAATGAACTAAGGTAGTTATGAATAGAGCTAAAACTTAGGCAACACCATCCTGGACATAGGAACGGGCAAAGATTTCATGACAAAGACACGGAAACCAATCACAACAAAAGCAAAAATTGAGAAGTGGAATCTAATAAAACAATAGCTTCTGCACAGCAAAAGAAGCTACCAACAAAGTAAACAGACAACCTACAGAATGGGAGAAAATATTTGCCAACTGTAAGTCTGACAAAAATCTAATATCTGGCAGCTATAAGGAACTTAAATTTACAAGACAAAAACAACCCCATTAAAAAGTGGGCAAAGAACATGAATAGACACTCTCAAAAGAAGATATACATATGGTTAACAAGCATATGAAAAAAAAGCTCAATATACTGAGCATTAGAGAAATGCAAATCAAAACCATATTGAGATATCATCTCATACCAGGCAGAATGGCTATTATTAAAAAGTCAAAAATAACAGATATCGGTGAGGTTACAGAGAAAAGGGAACACTTATACACTGTTGGTGGGACTGTAAATTATTTCAACCATTGTGGAAAGCAGTATGGGATGGCGATTCCTCAAAAAGCCAAAAACAGAACTATCATTCAACCCAGCAATTCCATTACTGGGTATATACCCAGAAGAATATAAATCGTTCTACCATAAAGACGCATGCATGAGAATGTTCATTGCAGCACTACTCACAATAGCAGAGACATGGAATCAACTTAAATGCCCATCAGTAACAGACTGGATAAAGAAAGTGTGGTACAGATACACCGTGGATTACTATGCAGCCATAAAAAAGAACAAGATCATGTCTTTGACAGGAACATGGATGGAGCTGGAGGCTACTATCCTTAGCAAGCTAAGGCAGGAACAGAAATCCAAATACCGCATGTTCTCACTTATGAGCGTGAGATAAATGATGAGAACTTGTAAACACAAAGAAGGAAACAACAGGCAGTGGGGTCTACTTGAGGACGACGGGAAGAGGGAGAGGAGCAGAAAAGATAACTACTGACTACCGGGCGCTACCTGGGGGATGAAACAATCTGTACAACGAACCCCCAGGACATGAGTTTACCTATGTAACAAACCTTCACGTGTACCCCCGAACCTAAAATAAAAGTCAAAAAGAAAAAGAAAAAAAGAAAAATCCATGCATATGATACATCAGTTAACAAGGCACTGGTGAAATTAATTTTAAGTATTATTGTCTCTTTGTGTTTTTGGTCTCAGAAAAGTTACGATTTCCCTTAGTTCCTTAGGGCAGAGAGAATCTTCAATCACTGAAGTCAGGAGACACACATTCTATCTGATTTTCTACATTATCTGTTTGAAAAGGTTACCCACTTATTAGTGTTAAAGCCAAGATATCCAGCAAGGATAGCAACCAACTCTTAAGGTACTCTCCCTTAGGAGGATTCCTGATTCTTTAATGTTTTCTAAAAAAGCAAAACAAACAAACAAACAAAACAAAACACTAAATGTTTTCTCTTTCAACTTATTTGAATACACTCTTTTCTCACTGCTCTGAGCATGAATTCAATATTTCAGGGCAAACTAACTGAATGTTAGAACCAACTCCTGATAAGTCTTGAACAAAAGATAGGATCCTCTATAAACAGGTTAATCGCCACGACATAGTAGTATTTAGAGTTACTAGTAAGCCTGATGCCACTACACAATTCTAGCTTTTCTCTTTAGGATGATTGTTTCATTCAGTCTTATCTCTTTTAGAAAACATAGGAAAAAATTATTTAATAATAAAATTTAATTGGCAAAATGAAGGTATGGCTTATAAGAGTGTTTTCCTATTGTTTTCAGTGTAGGACTCACTGTTCTAAATAACTGGGACACCCAAGGATTCTGTAAAATGCCATCCAGTTATCATTTATATTCCCTAACTCAAAATTCATTCACATGTATTCATTTTTTTCTAAACAAATTAGCATGTAGAATTCTGGTTAAAATTTGGCATAGAACACCCGGGTATTTTTTCATAATGCACCCAATAACTGTCATTCACTAATTGAGAATGGTGATTTAACAAAGGATAATAAAGTTATGAAACCAATGCCACAAAACATCTGTCTCTAACTGGTGTGTGTGTGTGTGTGTGTGTGTGTGTGTGTAAGAGGGAGAGAGAGAAAATTTCACTCCCTCCATAAATCTCACAGTATTCTTTTCTTTTTCCTTTCCTTTCCTTGCTCTTCTTTCTCTCCTATTGCTTTCCTTTCATTTCCTTCTCATAAAAGAAAAATAACAATATAGAAAATAACAAAATATAGATGGTCAACCTTTTTAATATTAAGGTTACCTAAAATGCCATTATCCAAAGTGGTTCTCTAGAGATGCTGATGTATATACTTACATATTTTACAGTGTATTCAAATAAAGAGTATATTACATAAGACATATCCTTTTGTAACCAACTTTTGTCATTAACAATTTACTGGACTTGTCAACAAACCTAAATCTGTATCGTCTATAATGGCTACGTTCATTTTGGTATGAATCTTAATTACCCCTTTCTGCATTATTTAATGATTTTCTCATATGTCACTCTTAAATGTACTTCTAATTTTTCACTTTACATCACATAATGAATGGATCCAAATATGTTATGGATAGATATCTTCAAACTTTCTACTTACAAGTAGTGATAATAACAGATGTTCTCTCTAAAGTGTAGTTGGTATCAATTTTACTGACCTTTAAAAATATCTTAATGGGACAAAGTTCAAATATTTGATGACCAGCTATCGTGACCTTTATCTCTGTGGCTCTGTGGGCCTGTAGTTTTTACGTGCTTTTAGTGTATCATGATTAAATATTTTGTTTTAGTAAAGACACCATTATTTCCCAACTTCATATTCAAATTGTCAAAGGTATTAATCCTAGAGCAGAACTCTCAAAAGCACCAACTCTGATTCCTAACAAAGCATGGAAAAGCCCTCTCTCTGAGTTTCAGATACTCTTTTTTGTGGGGGTTGAGTTTCACTTTATTTAAAGTGAGTCTTAATCCTCCAACAAGTCAACAAGTGATTGGCTGGAATCACACGTATTGGAAAACCAGCGGAAGAGTAAGTCTTTGTATTTTATGCTACTGTACCTCTGGGATTAATTGCTCTTTCCCTCATTGGCCAGTCACTCTTAGTGTGTGATTAATGCCTGAGACTGTGTGAAGTAAGAGATGGATCAGAGGCCGGGCGCGGGGGCTCGCGCCTGTCATCCCAGCACTTTGGGAGGCCGAGGCGGGCGGATCACGAGGTCAGGAGATCGAGACCATCCTGGCTAACACGGGGAAACCCCGTCTCCACTAAAAATACAAAAAGTTAGCCGGGCGCGGTGGCGGGCGCCTGCGGTCCCAGCTGCTGGGGAGGCCGAGGCGGGAGCATGGCGGGAACCGGGAGGCGGAGCCTGCAGTGAGCCGAGATGGCGCCACCGCACTCCAGCCTGGGCGACCCAGCGAGACTCCGCCTCAAAAAAAAAAAAAGAAGATTGATCAGAGAGTACCTCCCCTAAGGGTACATGCAGATAAATACAGTTAAGGCGATTAACATTTCAAATACGGTGACTGTTTCTTACGTGGACGACGTTGTGTTGAACATGGGTGAGTAAGACTGAAGCAGCCGTAATTACTGCACGATGCGCATGGTAAAGAAGCACTCCGTTAGGGAAATTATATTCTTTGCCCCTCTAATCCTTCACTCCACCTGCCATATTCCCACATGATTTTTTTCTTTGCTGTTCTTGTCTAATTGTTATTAATAATTAATAAATAACTTATGATCTAATTGTTATTAATAATAACTTATCATCACATGATTTATTAATAAATTAATAAATAACTTATTATCACCGCATTTCCCCAATTCATTTATCTTTCTTTCATTTTCTCTCTTTGTGTGTTTTCTGTCTTCATATTTCAGCACTTGCCACATATTTCCCACAAAATCATTTATGGTCAAACAACACTTCAACGTGTAGCATTTGTATTTCTCAATTCTTCCTCACTTTCTTCCTTCAGAATACTAAAGCTTCTTCTCTACTGACTGAGTCAATGGCCAATGGATAGAGTAAATAATTCTGCGGTATCTAAATTTGTATTGATTGGACTTTCAAGCTCTTGGGAGATGCATCTTTTTCTTTTTTGGTTCTTCTCTGTGTTCTACATGGGAATTATCCTGGAAAATCTCTTCATTGTGTTCACAGTAATTATTGACTCTCATTTAAATTCCCCAGGTACTGCCTACTGGCCAACATTTATCTTCTTGATCTGGGTCTTCTCCTACAGTTCTGACTTTTTCACTAACTGCAGCATCATTTCTTTTCCAAGATGCATCATACAGATATTTTTCATTTGTGTCATGCGTAAAAATTGAGATGGTGCTGCTCATAACCATGGCATAGAGCAGGTACACTGCCAATCTGTAAGCCTCCCCATTACCTGACCACAATGAACCCCAAAATGTGTGTTTCCTTTGTTGGAGGCATCCTGGATAGTCAGGATAATCCATGCTGTATCTCAGTTTGTTTTTGCCATAAACTTGCCTTTTTGTGGCCCTAATAGAGTAGGTAGTTTTCACTGTGATTTTCCTTATGTCATGAAACTTGCTTGTGTAGACACTTACAAACTAGAGGTTGTAGTCACTGCTAACAGTGGGCTTATATCCATAGCTACCTGTTTCTTATTAATAATATCCTATATTTTCATTTCGGTAACCGTCTAGAATCCTTCTTCAGGAGACTTATCTAAAGCATTTGTGTCATGTTAGATCACATCACAGTAGGGATTTTGTTTTTTATGCCATGTATATTTCTGTATGTGTAGCCTTTGCCTAAAACAACACATGATTAATATTTGTTCATTGTTCCTTTTGCTATCACCCCTGTCTAGGATCTACACATTAAGAAACAAAGACATGAACGTCTCCATGGAAAGACTGGGAAAATGGATTGCAGGTTCTAGCAGGATGTCATAATAAATGGTGCATATCCAGAGTGCAAGATGATTCAGTCTCACCAAGAACACTGAAAGTCACATGGCTACCAGCATTATTGTGATAAGAACTACTATTTTGGGAGATAGTTTAGCAAAGGTGCCATGTAGAAATTGATTAAGTCAGAGGTATCTTTAACTTGCCACCACAGAGAAGAGATTAATTTCATATACTTCCATTGAGAAGAGAGATAAGAATACAAAACCAAGCTGATTTGCAGGAGTAAACTTGATATTCAAATACTATTTCCTGAATGACATTTTCTGAGACATGCTAATTGTAATTACTTTCAGCTTCAAAACATAATAAATTTATCTCATAGTAAGCATATAGATGGAATAAATAAAATGTGAACTTAGGTAAATTATAAATTAATAAAGTATATTTTTAAAATTTCCATTTTAATTTCTGTTTAAATTAGAATAAGAAACAAAAACAACTATGTAATACGTGTGCAAAGCCCTGAACTGAGATTTGACTTTACCTTGAGCTTTGTCAGTTTACGATGCTATTTCAGTTTTGTGCTCAGATTTGAGTGATTGCAGGAAGAGAATAAATTTCTTTAATGCTGTCAAGACTTTAAATAGATACAGACAGAGCATTTTCACTTTTTCCTACATCTCTATTATTCTAAAAATGAGAACATTCCAAAAGTCAACCATCCAAGTTTATTCTAAATAGATGTGTAGAAATAACAGTTGTTTCACAGGAGACTAATCGCCCAAGGATATGTGTTTAGAGGTACTGGTTTCTTAAATAAGGTTTTCTAGTCAGGCAAAAGATTCCCTGGAGCTTATGCATCTGTGGTTGATATTTTGGGATAAGAATAAAGCTAGAAATGGTGAGGCATATTCAATTTCATTGAAGATTTCTGCATTCAAAATAAAAACTCTATTGAAGTTACACATACTTTTTTCATGTATTTGTTTCTACTGCTTTGTAAATTATAACAGCTCAATTAAGAGAAACCGTACCTATGCTATTTTGTCCTGTGATTCTCCAAGAACCTTCCTAAGTTATTCTACTTAATTGCTTTATCACTCATATGAATGGGAATTTCTTCTCTTAATTGCTGCTAATCTCCCCCATCTTCAAATACTCTACCGGGCTTCTGGAACACCACAGCTTCCTGGCTTTTTCTCCTACCTCCTGGGCAAGTCCTTCCCTGTGTCTTTTGTTGAGTGTTCCTCATCTGCTTAACTACCAATCAACCTATTGCCCCTAATTTGATCTTTGGCCTGTTTTCACTTAGATTCTATCCCTACGTATCACCCATTCCCACAGCTTTAATCACCATCTAAACACTAGGGGCTCTCAAACCTTGTATTTTTCTTTCTTTCTTTCTTTCTTTCTTTCTTTCTTTCTTTCTTTCTTTCTTTCTTTCTTTCTTCCTCCTTTTCTTTCCTTTTCTTTCTTTCATTCTTTCTTTCTTTTTTAAGGGGCAGGGTCTCACTATGTTGCTGAGGCTGGTCTCAAACTCCTGACCTCAAGCAATCTGTCTGCTTCAGCCTCCCAAGTAGCTGAGAATACAGGGACAAGCCATTGCACCTGACCCTGGTACTATTTCTTGAGTTCCTGATCCACAGATCTAACCTCCTACTTTCCTGGATGCCACACAAGATCTTCCACTCAACAAGTCTGCAACTAAACTAGCCTTCCTCTTTTCAAACCTACTCTTCTTTCAGTGTTCTCAGTCACAATAATTTGTACCAACTAGTTACCTAGTTGCACAACCCAAAATCTGGGAAAAATAATAGATTTCTTTCTCCATAGTACCCCCAAATCAATAAATCATCAAGTCTTATTCTACCTTCCAAAGAGCCTTACATATGTTCCTTTATTTTCATCTGTAACACCACTATTCCTGTCTAAGCCTACCTATGTCATTTTTGGAAGAGAATATAGTCACCTATGCGACCTTCCCACTTAAAATCCTACTATTTACGCTTCAGTAAAAGAAAAAAAATTTTTAATCTAAGTATGTAATTCTTTTGCTGAAGACACTTCACTTGCTTCTGTGCCCTTAAACTGGTATGTTATCATGGTATAGTAGGCCATCCAAGACCTGGCTTCCTTCCTTTTTTTCAGTCTCAGAGAATAACATACTCTTTCCCTGCAACTCCAGATCCAATTTGGTTTTCTTTTACTTGCCTGGAAACTCCAAAATCTATCAACTCTGGGGCTTTCCACTAGCTAATCATTTTGTATACAATATTTGTCCTTCATGTTTTGCCTCTTAACATCTCAGCTTTCAGTTTCATCATTTTACCAGGGAGGCCTCCCAGAACCTGAGTCCAGAAGAGTTCCTTCCATTGTATATTCCTCTAGCACTACCTATTACCTCTTTTGTAAGACTAACAGCCCTCAAAATTTTTCATTCAGTGATGTCTTCCTCATTGCATTTTAAGTTCAACATGAGCAGGACTTTGTCGTGTTCACCTCTATCACATCATAAATATAGCAAACAGTAAAACTATTGCAACATGACTAATGTATTGAACGATGCTTCAGCTTTCTTCTTACGTTCAATCACAGGTCATATGACTAAAGAACTTCCTTTTTAATCTCCTTTTCTATTCTCAATTAATTTCTTCTGCCTGCATCACCTCAAGTCTCTGGGGTGAAATCCACTAATGAATTCCTTTTGCAGCTTAAGCCAATTCCAATCTTGAGCCAATCTCAGGTGAAGAAGCCTGTAAATTATCACTCTCAGTCCTCTCTTGTACTACTAGGTCTCATGAACTCTTCATTAACAACTCCAGCTTCTCTGTTAGCCCAAAAGCCTTTTGCTGCCTAGAAAACCCATGATTCATGCCTCAGGAAACAGCCTTCAAATCACAACATGTTCTGTATCTGGCTGGCCAACTCCCTGCAACTTATTTCTGCCTAGATTCTCCCTCATTCATTTCAATACGCTGTTCGGCCTGCTACCCCAGTTTCCCACTTAGAACAATGGCACACAGGACAGGAGCACATTGGCACATCAGAATGACTTATGTACTGCTCATTGTGTTGCAGAAGAGACCTCTGTGGGGGCAATAGAACAGATTTTCCTCTCACGTCACTGTAGTTGTGGTTTCCCTAAGCACCTACACTGTTTCACCTCATCTTAGGTAGACAATAATCCATGTAACTGACTGTGTATCCTAATTTTAAAAAATATTTCTGCCCACATTATTCTGCAGTTTTTATCTTGCTTACGTATTTTTGGAATGTTACTATTTTTCAAAAATTAATTTGGGATCAACCAACACTTCTTATTCTGCTGCTGTTCTAGAGAAAATCATTTTCCTCATTTCTGAACAAGAGAAAATGAAATACAGCTCTAAACAAATGCCACTGTAAACCAAGGTGGAGCCTTTGCACTTTCAGGCCACCATGATAACCTGGAGATTAGATTTTTCTGTGTCTTTATATCAATAATAAAGCCAAGCTTCTCCAGGGGTATCCACTAGGCTTGTCTCAATGGCTCAATACAGGTCCTTTTGTGAATGATTACCTCACCCTCATGGAAACACACTCTTGTTACAGAAACTCAGAATGATTCTATTTTTTCTTTTATATTTGTATATGTTTTTCCAATACCTCTGAAAAAACTGATCCAAAAAAAATACAAATTTTAATTGTAGCCAGTCAATTCAGGAAGGATAAAGGTCAAAAACTTTCAAAGAAACCTTCAGCCCCAACACACTAAACTTTGGGAGCACAGGTTGGCATCCAGAGGTAAACATTTGCTATAACTGATAACAGGAGAAGGATCCATTTATTCACCTGTTATCAATTACAGGCATTGTATTTAAAGATCAGATGTTTTATATTTATTTCTTCAAATTTCATTCATGGTGCCATAAGTGAAGGTATCTCTGTCCACCCTGAATATATTTTCACTCCCTCATCTCAGTCATTCCGAACAATTCACACACTAAGATTACCCATGCTAAATGGGGATTCTTTTTTACTAGCCAATGTAGTACCTCAAATCCTTCCTTCCCTCCCCCTATTTCATCAGCAGGCAATTCTTTTGATACTTTTGTCAAGGGGAAATTGTGTGACTCAGAGATCTAGTCCCCAAGAGAAACTAATAATGGGCTGGGTATTGTCTGTCTCAGCAGCATCAGTGGGTCCCTCTCCTGTGCAGCTAATTAGCTTCCTTTCCAATATGAAGAATCTTATATATAGCTTTGTCTTTGGGGTATTACATAAATGAAGATTAAGCTATCTGAATTTCTCCTTCTCCTAAAAATGCACATCCTATGACTGAAAAGACAGGTAAAAGAGATGCTTTTAATTACAAAACTTTCCCTGTCGTGGTTGCTTCTCTCTATCCTTCTAAACTCCCTTTCAATTTCTTCTCTTCTGTAACATATTTGTGCCCAAAATCTTCTGCTTTCTGAAATATTTTATCTTTTTCTTCCACACTATCTCTTATTTTCCAATTTTAATCATTAAATTATATTATGTCTTATAAAACTAATCCCACATATAAACCCCTATGATAATTTCAGTTTGTCCCTAGTATGAAGTTCTTTAAAGATGTGTAGTTTTCTAACTTTCATGCTCTCCAATTAATTATAAACTTCATTTTCCACTCTGAAAAGGAGATGTCTGATCTCAGCTATTTCCATCCTATTTGAAAACCAGATTTAGTTTTAAACCAGAGGAAGGGAATCTCAAGTCTTTACCTCCCACAGTCTGGTGTGATTCTCTCTCTTTTGGTATTACCTTCCTCCACATTGGAACACTCCAGCCAATGCATAGGCTGAGAGGCTATCTCAGATTCAGAAAGATTTGGCCTCATCCCAGGGGAGGGTACAGAGGAGCTGATGACTATGAATTCTGAAATGGAACTGTTCCAGGTTGAAGAAATAAGAAAGGGAATTGGGAAGAGCAATGCCCAGTGAAAAAGAAGAAATAATATTTTAGGAAGTGAATGCTAATTTTATTTTAAACAAAATAAGAACTCAAGGAATAAGAGGGTTCTTCCAATAGGTTAGAGTGATCCTGTCAAACATATATGCTTCTAGATTTTTTTAAAGACTGTTTCTACTAAGAAAGCATAGACCGCTATTGAGAAAGATCATTAAACTGGAATTTAGGAGGTCTGCCTTCTGATTCTGACTTCTTGAATGTATTGTTAGCCATTTAACCACACTGTGTTGTTTCTCATTCTACCTGTAGAATCTCAAAGTTCTTTCCCACTTCTATACAAAACTATAATTCTGAACATCCTTTTTGTTTAATATAAGTCTGCATTTCCTGTTTGAAGATATGTGTCCCAGACCCTAAATGACTGACAAATTTTAAATCTCCAATAGGAAAGATGACAAACTCTATGGAAACTTGGCTTCTGAAGAACTCCTAGAAGCTTTCCAAAGTCATCAGTGTTTCCTAAGAAGGCAGAGAAATCAAACACATGGTCTTTTCCTCCAGACAAGCTCCTTTGGGTCATCAGGATTTCTTCAACAATAAAATGTAATAATTCCAAATGTTTGTAACAGAATGGGTAGGACTTTCTTCACTTATTTAAATACTCCCTTTTTTATGCAACTGAGTTTTCATCAACAAGTACAAGCTTGTGAAGGAGTACTTTAAAATGCAATTTCTCTCTATTTTTGTGGGGGCTAATATTTTATTTCTCATATTGACAATTTATTATGCTGTTTTTAAAAAGTTCATTCATCAAGTATTTCTTGAGCTTTTTCTATGAGACAGGCACTGTTTTAGGCAAGTAATTATGCACTGAACAATGCAAAAAGTTTCCCTGCACTCATGGACTTTAATTTTACATTTATGAAAAGCTACAAATATTAGAATAAGTAAAATACTGCCTGGAGGCTAAAGCATATTTTGATCACTTATTCCCTAATTCTTTTAGAAGAGAACTCACCTGTCGGTTAGCTGAACCACTGCCAGTGATATCCAACTATACATTCAATCCCACCATACCTCATTATCACACCTATTCACTCACAAGCTTAAACTCTTAACTTTTCTCCACATATCAGTGACTATTTCCTACAGCTTTTCTTTTACTTTCCATGTTTGCAGTGACAATATACATAAACAGTGTATGAAAACTCAAGTAAAATCTACTCTCTCAGGTGTTCATAATGTATCAATGTATATTGCTTTAAGCCTGAAGGTAACCTAAGTAAAGATGTACCATGTTCCACCAATGCTTCTTTTGATCATCATTTTATCCTGTTTTTTCTTTAGGATTCTTTCTTATTCCTTCCCCTGACCCTTCTTTTATTCTCCAAATTTCTTTCCAATTCATCTTTGTTCTTCCCTTTCCTTTTTACTCTCTTTAAACATTCTATGGACTCTGCCTCCTTCACACTGATATTGAACGCCCATAGTTTCATATTTTGGATTGCGATTGTTTTATTTTAAAATGGCAAATGTTCATGTTATAAAGAGAATTTTTCAGTCTTTAGACTAATAGGTTCATGTAGTTTGGGATTTTCCTCTTTAAGAAAATTAATTATCACTCACACTCCAAGACAAACACCATTTCAGTAGCAATATGAATTTCAGTAGTAATAGGAATCTCCAAATATGACAAAGTAATTCAGACATTAATTGCTTTTGTTTTGGAATTGCTCTTATAAGATGAAATATCACTTTCATGATGAGAGTCCTAGAGTGCTTGGTTTATATATTGTATCTTAGTTTTAACAGGATAAAACACTTGATCCTAAGCAGTAAACATGATTCTTCAGCTTCAACTTCATTTCTTTATAAATAACTATTTATGAATTGGTGTTGAGCTTAGTAAGTCACCAAACACCTTCTGCTCAGCAGCATAAAGGACATTTCCATGAAACCTCCCAGGGATAATCTTATTTACTCTATAATGTTTCCCGGGTTCAATTCCTCTCCCAAAATTCTTTGTTCTTAAGCCCCTATGATCTGGGTGATCTAAATATGGGTAAGAAGTCCAGGGATAGCACTATGAATGAAGTGAAAATAGTAAAACATAGTTAAAAATGTACAGATGCTCTCTGACTTATAATAGGGTTACGTCCTGATAAATCCATCATAAGTCAAAAATGCATTTAATATTCCTAATGTACCTCACATCATAGTTTGGCCTAGCCTACCTTAAATGTGCTCAGAACACTTTCATTAGCTTATATAAGATCACCTAATACAAAGCCTATTTTATAATAAAATATTGAATAGCTCACGTAATATACTGACTACTATACTCAAGTACAGTTTCTTCTGAATGCATGTCACTTTCTCACCATTGTAAAGTCAAACAATTATAAGTCAAACTATCACAAGCCAGGGACCATCCATATGTATTTCATTCAGAAAATGCTGGAAAGAGCATTTCGGAGAATATCTAGATGAGAGAAGGTAGAAAGCCATGCACAAATTCACTGAGAGTTTAAAAAAATACATGCATATTGTGGAGATAGAAATCAAATCTATTTGTCTCCATCTGCTGTATTCTTCCCAAAATATTATCTCTTCTTATCCCATTGTACTATATTGCATTTCTTTGACCATTTATTGTGTATCTCTTAATATTTCCCACTTCATCATTACTAACCTCACTCACTCTGAACTTGATGAGAGCACCTGAGCATTAATTTTTCTTATAATTATTTAATGATTACCAGAATTCGTTCAGTATGGCCAGCTCTGGTCAAAGTGAGGCAGGCAAGATGCTTTGTCAACTGCCTGGATGGAATGTCTCAAAAGGTTTCCATTTCATGGTAGCATTATGCAAAGTTCAAGACGTTTAATCAAGACCCTTCACTTACTTAACTATACCTCCTTGAGAATCCCATCTATGAAAAAATTCTAGTCATTATAAAAATGATTGATTAAATGAGGGAAGTAGTAGAGTTCTTCATTTCTTTAGTTGGTTTAGTCTCCTATGAGTCAATCCTATTTTCAAAATTCTTAATAAACCATTTATTCCTTCAACTTTCTATGCCATTTGATGTTTTGTAAAAAAAAAAATATAATATGTATACAAAAAGATATTTCAAAATCTAGAAAGAGAGCTTTAGAGCTTTGTAAAGCTCTTTTAAAAATCAAAAACAACTACTGTTAATTAACATGTTGTACTATGCAATTTGTTTACCATTATTACTCTTGGTATTTTTAAGAAAAGTCTTTCCATTGTTATTATAAATGCTTCTATTGATATTTATTTTAATAACTGTTATTACAGTCCGTCATGTACATACACTATACTTAAACCTAATGTTTGGTATTTAAATCGTTTCAAGATTTTATCACTGTCAACAAAGTATGATGAATATTTTTATGCTGAAAACTTCTGTAAAAATAGAATTCCAAGAGTATTATTGCACCAAAAGGCATGGACTTAAAATTCTTGATACATGATTTCAAAATATTTTCTTTAAGGTTTGAATCAGTCTATATTCCCTCCAGCAGCGTATAAAAGTGCCAATTTCTCTGATCCTTAGCCAGTTTGGGTAATAATAATTGTAAAACTTTTTTTTCTTTTTTTTTGAGACAGAGTCTCCCTCTGTCGCCAGGCTGAAGTGCAGTGGCGCAATCTCGGCTCACTGCAACCTCCGCCTCCCGGGGTCAAGCTATTCTCCTGCCTCAGCCTCCCAAGTAGCTGGGACTACAGGCATGCACCACCATGCCCAGCTAATTTTTGTTATTTTTAGTAGAGATGGAGTTTCCCCATGTTGGACAGGATGGTCTCGATCTCTTGACCTCGTGATCCACCCTCCTCGGCCTCCCAAAGTGCTGGGATAACAGGCGTGAACAACCATGCCCGGCCTGTAAAACTTTTTCCTAATTTAACAGAAAAATAATAGTATTATATTTTATCATATTTCTTTGATTTCTAAGACACACATACACACACACACACACATATCTGTATATACAAATACACGTATAGCTTACATTTTAATTCTTCATTTCATTTGTTCATTTATTAGGTCTTGGAGATTTTGTGAAACTGTTTAAATTCTTTTTTATACTATGAAGATATCAACCTTTTGTCTCTACAGCATTTCAAATTCAAGTATGATTCACGTGTTGGTTTGGGGTAGATCATTATAGGCACATGTAGGAAACAGCTTTCAGAGATGCCTTAACCGTAATTATGCATTTGTATTCTAATTTTTATTTAATGTTATTATTGATTGCATTTTTAAAGATTCTGTATTTTTTAAACCATTTATTTGTATATGTTGGTATACAATCTTGCCATTTTCTGGGATTTCATATTTCCTTATTTTTGTTTTTTACCTTTTTTGGCTTGAATTTTTTGAGTTTTTATGCATTCTTTTCCAGTTTCTTAAGATGCTAATAAGTTCATGTATTTGAGCAATTGAGAACATTTAAAGCAATAGACTGCCTCTGAGCACAGCTTTGTCCATATTACATTAACCTTTTATACCCTGGGTTCCCACTAGTTTTTAAATAATCTACTATCAAATAAAAGATTTGTTAATAATAAATTTTAAATCATTAACACTTAACGCATTATTTTCAGTCACACTAAGTTGATTCCTTCGTTTCTTTCAGGTTGCTTCAGAGTCTTCCCTTCTATCTGATTCAGTGGACCAAGTAAATGACTCTCTGGTAACAGAATTTGTATTACTTGGACTTGCACAATCCTTGGAAATGCAGTTTTTCCTTTTTCTCTTCTTCTCTTTATTCTATGTGGGAATTATCCTGGGAAAACTCTTCATTGTGTTCACAGTGATCTTTGATCCTCACTTACACTCCCCCATGTATATTCTGCTGGCCAACCTATCGCTCATTGACTTGAGCCTTTCATCTACCACAGTTCCTAGGTTGATCTACGATCTTTTTACTGATTGTAAAGTTATTTCCTTCCATAATTGCATGATACAAAAGTTCTTTATCCATGTTATGGGAGGAGTTGAAATGGTGCTGCTGATAGTCATGGCATATGATAGGTACACTGCGATCTGCAAGCCTCTCCACTATCCAACTATTATGAATCCCAAAATGTGCATGTTTTTGGTAGCAGCAGCTTGGGTCATTGGGGTGATTCATGCTATGTCTCAGTTTGTTTTTGTCATAAATTTACCCTTCTGTGGCCCTAATAATGTGGGGAGCTTTTATTGTGATTTTCCTCGGGTTATTAAACTTGCATGCATGGACACTTATGGGCTAGAATTTGTGGTCACTGCCAACAGTGGATTCATATCGATGGGCACCTTCTTTTTCTTAATTGTATCATACATTTTTATTCTGGTCACTGTCCAACGACATTCCTCAAATGATTTATCCAAAGCATTCTTCACTTCGTCGGCTCACATCACCGTAGTGGTTTTGTTTTTTGCTCCATGCATGTTTCTCTACGTGTGGCCTTTCCCTACTAAGTCATTGGATAAATTTTTTGCCATCATGAACTTTGTTGTCACCCCTGTCGTAAATCCTGCCATCTATACTTTAAGGAACAAAGATATGAAGTTTGCAATGAGAAGGCTGAATCAACATATTTTAAATTCTATGGAGACGACATAACACATTTGGTTGATGAGAGCACAGGATAAATGCCATGGACCATCAAGACTCCTGTGATCACCATGATCACTATGGAACGCGCACATTTTTAGTATTGCCTGAAAAAACTGAAAAATCTGCAAAAAGGATGCATTAAATCTAAGAATTGTATTTCAGATAAAGTTGCAACATTTTTTGTTAATCATAAAAAGTATATATTTCTATCTAATGTGTGTATCTAATTAACAGCAATGACTACCTTTAATTTTGATGTAGTTATTTTATATCTGTATATAAGCACATACACATATATATGACCTAGGTTTATTTATCAGTATTTTTATGCTGATAATAAGCATCACTGGAAATTAATTTTCTTATGGAAATTATGTGGATCCAATGGATAAAATATGAGTTTATATAAATTAGTAAATGCCAAAATCAAGGAAGAAACAATTTTTATTTTAATTGTACTTTAAGTTAGATAAATGGTAAGGTCAACAGCTTGTTACAACCCTTAAGTATTATTTTCAGGCTGATTGTCAATATGTTTTGTACAATGTTCTCACTTATAGGTGGGAATTGAACAATGAGAACACATGGACACAGGAAGGGGAACATCACACACCGGGGCCTGTTGTGGGGTGGGGGGAAGGGGGAGGGATAGCATTAGGAGATATAACTAGTGTTAAATGACGAGTTAATGGGTGCAGCACACCCACATGGCACATGTATACATATGTAACTAACCTGCACATTGTGCACATGTACCCTAGAACTTAAAGTATAATAAAAAAAAATAGACTCTAGTACTCTGTATTATGCAAAATTTGTCTATGTTACACTTTTTTAACAACACAATCCTATTGCCCTTGAAATCTTCTTCAAAGCATTTCTCGAGTCACTCTTAAAAAGCATCTACAACCTAAAAGTATAGGAAGAGATTTATTTCCTGGAGAAGAGACCCCATTGAGATCTTAAAAGCACATTTAATGTGCCTGTGCTTAACTTAAGGTGCTTAGGACAAAGAAGGCGATTGACATCTTTCAGGTAAAACCTGGTAAGTTTGGTGGTCAAGGAACACAACTGAGACATCACTTGGATGTATTCCTATGACTATTTTAAGAAACATAAATTGTGGTGACTCACTCAGCTCACTTTTAACTACTGCATGGTAATTAAAGATGCAAAATAAAATAAGTTACAAGAAGTGAGGTTTTTTATTGGTTAAAGCAATTTTTCTATATTTTCTCCGCAAGTTGGTCATAAAAGTTCTAAGCATTCCTCTTTTTATAAAATCGAAGCATTATTACTTACTCTCTTGTTAACCTATCTGGATTTTAATTTTGTAACTTTATTATATTTGTTTTGCTGTGATTCTTTAAAAAGCACCTTTAGACTCAGTGAGATAGCAAAAATATCCAAATAGGCCAAAAAATTGTGGCAATGTCCTCTCACTCAGGAAAATTCTGTGTGTTTTCTCTAATGGCCAAGGGAAAACTTGTGAGACTATAAAAGTTAGTCTCAGTACACAAAGCTCAGACTGGCTATTCCCAGATCTCTTCAGGTACATCTAGTCCATTCATAAAGGGCTTTTAATTAACCAAGTGGTTTACTAAAAAGGACAATTCACTACATATTATTCTCTTACAGTTTTTATGCCTCATTCTGTGAAAATTGCTGTAGTCTCTTCCAGTTATGAAGAAGGTAGGTGGAAACAAAGACAAAACACATATATTAGAAGAATGAATGAAATTGTAGCATTTTATTGACAATGAGATGGTTCTATTAGTAGGAATCTATTCTGCATAATTCCATTTTGTGTTTACCTTCTGGAAAAATGAAAGGATTCTGTATGGTTAACTTAAATACTTAGAGAAATTAATATGAATAATGTTAGCAAGAATAACCCTTGTTATAAGTATTATGCTGGCAACAATTGTCGAGTCCTCCTCCTCACTCTTCTGGGCTAATTTGTTCTTTTCTCCCCATTTAATAGTCCTTTTCCCCATCTTTCCCCAGGTCCGGTGTTTTCTTACCCACCTCCTTCCCTCCTTTTTATAATACCAGTGAAACTTGGTTTGGAGCATTTCTTTCACATAAAGGTACAAATCATACTGCTAGAGTTGTGAGGATTTTTACAGCTTTTGAAAGAATAAACTCATTTTAAAAACAGGAAAGCTAAGGCCCAGAGATTTTTAAATGATATTCCCATGATCACACTGTGAATTTGTGCCAGAACCCAAATGCCTACTCCCATCTCACTGAGACTTACTATAAGGACATAAGGCATTTATATATATATATATTATATATACTATATATTTATATATATTACATATTATATATATAATATATATTATATAATATATATTATATTATATAATATATAATATAAATATAATATAAATTATATTATATAATATATAATATAAATATAATATAAATTATATAAATATAATATATATTTTATTATATAATATAATATATATTATATAAATATAATATATAAATTATATAATATAATATATATTATATAATATAATATATTTTATTATATAAATATATATTATATTATATAATATATATTTTATTATATAATATATATTATATATTTATAGAATATAATATATATTTTATTATATAATATATATTATATAATATATATTATATTTATATATAACATATATTATTATATAAAATATGTATAATATATATTATATAAATATATTTATATATTATATAAATATATATATTATATATAATTCTAATGGTTGAATTCCAAGAATAATCTATGGCATGAAAGATTTTACCTGTCAACAGTGGCTGGCTCTTCATGGTTGCTACAATGAGTGTGTAAGATTCTGAAGGACTCCTTTAATAAGCCTAAACTTAATGTTCAACTTAGAATAAATACAATTCTTCTAATTTTTTTTGAATAATTTTTAAAAAGTCAGAAATGAGCTTTGAAAGAATTATGGTGGTGAAGGATCCCCTCAGCAGCACAAATTCAGGAGAGAGATGTCTTAACTACGTTAGCAAGAAATTCCTTTTGCTAAAGAATAGCATTCCTGAATTCTTACTAACAGCCATGATAGAAAGTCTTTTGCTACAGATGAGAACCCTCGGGTCAACCTCATCCTTGGCATATTTCATGTGAAGATATAACTTCAAGATTGTCCTTGCCTATCAATGAAATGAATTAATTTTATGTCAATGCATATTTAAGGTCTATTCTAAATTGCACACTTTGATTCAAAAGAAACAGTCCAACCAACCAGTCAGGACAGAAATTATCTCACAATAAAAATCCTATCGTTTGTACTGTCAATGATTAGTATGATTATATTTATTACCGTGCTAAGCAGAAGAGAAATGAAGTGAATGTTCATGATTTATTCCACTATTAGACTTCTCTTTATTCTTAAAAATATTTAAGATCACTAAATTTTTATAGGACTTTAAAAACAGTAATGTGCTGCTTTGAGTGTGTAGGACTAAGAAATGGGATTCAGAGTAGTAAAGAGAAAAGTGGAATTTCCAAGCACTATGAATTACTGTTCTTTAAAAAACAGCAAAAATCAAATAACAGTATTCCTCCAAAAAAGATGGCAAGTGTAAACTCTATACCTTCATGTCTCCCGTGGAATGTTAGTGATCAATTTCCACTTCTCTCTTTTACATCTTACTTGCCCATTAACTCTTATACCTAATCCAAAGATTGTTAATATGGCTATGTCTCACTTTCAGGACACCTTTTATTTGTTACTTCTCTTCACTGCAAAACTTCTTGAAACAGTACTTATTTTCTCTCCTCCATACACAATTGAAATGGCTCTCAACTCATGCCCAGAAGTCAGTGTTCAGTCTCTCACCTGGCAGATAGCAACTTACAAAGATGCCCCAACAATACCTCCTTGTGTCTAGACAGTCATCATTATCCTTTACCTTTTTCTGTATTTATTTCTGCTCCTAAAAGGGATCTCTATGTAAAGTATTGTTATACTAGTGCTTGTTATAATTATTATCAGAGTTAAAGCCATCACAATGTTCCCAATTACTTAAAGACATTGGAATAACATTTTTTTTATTTTCCACATCTTGCCAAAAAATATTTTGTTATCAGTACCTTAATAATGGCTATTATATATTGACCATTACTATTTGCTAGAAAATTTATATACCTGGTCGTATCCAATCCTCACAGAACTTCTATAAAGTTGTGCTATTATCACCTATATTTTCCAGATGTGGCCGTAAGACTGAAATCACTTAGGTGACTTGTCTAAGGTCATTCAGATACATAGTAGATAACCCAGGATTTGAACACAGGCCTCCTAGCACACAAGCTCATATCTTAACTACTTTAATACGTTGCTCGATGGGATCTTACAGGTCTTCATTCACCCCTTTCCTGCTCACACAACCACAACCTGCAGCTATTACCTATTGTTAGGCTTAAAATAATTACTTGGCTTCATTTCCAAGCTCCCTCCCTTCCAATTCACATTGAGTCCAGAGCTAAATTAAACAATCATTCAAAATTTTTCAGTAGTTCTTGTCTCTATAATAAAACAGAAATGCTTTAGAAAGCATTCCAAAATCTCTTACCAGTTTTATCTCCTATGAAAGTCCTTCACACTTTCTCTCATTTAAACTTTATTGCATTTTCCTCACTTTTTCTCACTTCACTTTTGAATTCCCTATTCTTTTATCCTCTGTTAATTTTTAAGTATTATATTTGTGATATTATTTTTTCTTTTTTTCTATTTTTTATCTTTCATTTCATTTTGGCCTATTTTTTTCTCTTAAGAACTTTAATATCACCAAATAACATGTGTGCTACAAACTGTTTTGTAGTTCAAAGAAAAAGGAGATAAACATAGAGTTATGGCATAGACTTAATCTGGCAGAGAGACAAGCATAAATAATGGTATTTTATATTAGGAATAAACCTAACATTAATGGAGACACTGAGAAGCCGAGATAACTGAATTATAAGGCATAGCCAGGGAAGTAGTGCGAGATAGAATTATGATCTTGTTGAATTCTGAATGTCTTTAAGTAATAGATTATAGAAAGTCACTGTAAGAGTGAGCAGAATGATATAAAATGAGGCTTTGAATTTGAATATAATAATTCTGACTTCCTTCTCCTTCTCTTCTTCAAGGTAACTGCAGAGGCTATTTCCTGGAATGAATCAACGAGTGAAACGAATAACTCTATGGTGACTGAATTCATTTTTCTGGGTCTCTCTGATTCTCAGGAACTCCAGACCTTCCTATTTATGTTGTTTTTTGTATTCTATGGAGGAATCGTGTTTGGAAACCTTCTTATTGTCATAACAGTGGTATCTGACTCCCACCTTCACTCTCCCATGTACTTCCTGCTAGCCAACCTCTCACTCATTGATCTGTCTCTGTCTTCAGTCACAGCCCCCAAGATGATTACTGACTTTTTCAGCCAGCGCAAAGTCATCTCTTTCAAGGGCTGCCTTGTTCAGATATTTCTCCTTCACTTCTTTGGTGGGAGTGAGATGGTGATCCTCATAGCCATGGGCTTTGACAGATATATAGCAATATGCAAGCCCCTACACTACACTACAATTATGTGTGGCAACGCATGTGTCGGCATTATGGCTGTCACATGGGGAATTGGCTTTCTCCATTCGGTGAGCCAGTTGGCGTTTGCCGTGCACTTACTCTTCTGTGGTCCCAATGAGGTCGATAGTTTTTATTGTGACCTTCCTAGGGTAATCAAACTTGCCTGTACAGATACCTACAGGCTAGATATTATGGTCATTGCTAACAGTGGTGTGCTCACTGTGTGTTCTTTTGTTCTTCTAATCATCTCATACACTATCATCCTAATGACCATCCAGCATCGCCCTTTAGATAAGTCGTCCAAAGCTCTGTCCACTTTGACTGCTCACATTACAGTAGTTCTTTTGTTCTTTGGACCATGTGTCTTTATTTATGCCTGGCCATTCCCCATCAAGTCATTAGATAAATTCCTTGCTGTATTTTATTCTGTGATCACCCCTCTCTTGAACCCAATTATATACACACTGAGGAACAAAGACATGAAGACGGCAATAAGACAGCTGAGAAAATGGGATGCACATTCTAGTGTAAAGTTTTAGATCTTATATAACTGTGAGATTAATCTCAGATAATGACACAAAATATAGTGAAGTTGGTAAGTTATTTAGTAAAGCTCATGAAAATTGTGCCCTCCATTCCCATATAATTTAGTAATTGTCTAGGAACTTCCACATACATTGCCTCAATTTATCTTTCAACAACTTGTGTGTTATATTTTGGAATACAGATACAAAGTTATTATGCTTTCAAAATATTCTTTTGCTAATTCTTAGAACAAAGAAAGGCATAAATATATTAGTATTTGTGTACACCTGTTCCTTCCTGTGTGACCCTAAGTTTAGTAGAAGAAAGGAGAGAAAATATAGCCTAGCTTATAAATTTAAAAAAAAATTTATTTGGTCCATTTTGTGAAAAACATAAAAAAAGAACTGTCACATCTTAATTTAAAAAATATATGCTTAGTGGTAAGGAGATATATGTCAACTTTTAAGAGGTTGAAAAACAAACGCCTCCCATTATAAGTTTATACTTCACCTCCCACCACTATAACAACCCAGAATCCATGAGGGCATTATCAGGAGTGAGTGGAAGAGTAAGTTTGCCAATGTGAAATGTGCCTTCTAGGTCCTAGACGTCTGTGGTATAACTGCTCATAAGCAGTAGAAAGAATTTAGAGGGATCCAGGCTCTCATCACGTTGGCACAAAGTATATTACTTGGATCCATCTATGTCATTTTCCATGGTTAATGTTTAAAAGCACAGGCTTTAAAGTAAAAAACAAAGAGCTGGATTCAACTCTACTGACTCTTATTAATCATGATTTTGGGCACATTACGTAGCTTTCATGAGCTTTAGTTTCTACATTTATAAACAGGAGATTATACCTATTATGCATGGTTATTATGAAGGAAAATGACAAAATAGATATAAATCAAATAGCCCACTTCGAGACATATTAAGCATGAATAAACATTAGATACTATTAAAATCCTATATATTAACAAAGCCAAAAGTTTCAAACTTTACTTTTTCCCAACATTCTTGTGAAATATGACACATCCCAATCTTAACAGATGCTCATTTGGGATACTGTACTTGTGAGTGGAAGTGTGTATATTTGTGTGCAAGTGTGTACTCATATACTTCCACCTTACCACCCTAGAAAGGCATGATGAAAATTTAAGATAGAAGGAAAATATAAATTGAAAAAAAAAAACCTTAACAAATGATTCTGACAAATATCTTCTCTTTCCAGGGAGAATCACTGAGCCAGAATAAAATTGAACACTAAATATTCTAAGAAAAAAGGAATCTAGTTTGTCAAAATGTGACTTGAATTAATAGATAAGGAGAGTCAGATGATAAGAGGGTCAAAATTATGTTTATCTTAGGAAAAGTAGAATAGAAAATTTATAAGCAGATTAAAAACACATAATAAAAGTAGTAAATAATAATGACAGTATCTCAAATCAGTGCAGGGGGGAAAGGCCTACTAATGTGATGGTGGGATAATTGGATAGCAATATGGGAAAAGATATATTTAATTTATTTGCTACACCAAATGCCAGGACAATCTCTAAGTGAATTCAAGACATAACTCTTTTTTCAAAAAAACTATGCAAATATTAAAAGAAAACAAGTTAATGTTTTTATAATCTATGAATATGGTAAAGATGGATAACATTGACTATCAAATTAATTTTTAATGCGTAATAAAACTATGAGAAAATTTAAAAGTGAGAAGAAACTACTTGTAACTCACATAATAGACTAGTACTTCTAACACATAGGGAACTTCTAAAACAAAACCCAAAATATTAATAGGAAAATGGGCAAAACAGTTAAACTTACAGTTCATACATAAGGAGAATCAGTCTTTTTTTTTTTTTTTACAGTTGTAGGCAGAAAACTTTTATTTTTCATTTATTTGTAAAATTTACCCCTAATTTATTCATAATTCATTTAACTGCTAAGGGCATTAATGTGTACAACGCCATGGGAGAAACCAGTATATTCAGAATTTCTCCTGAAATTTGACCAGAAGTTATGGGCATCCCTCCCCTGGGAAGGAGGCAGGCAGAAAAGTTTGGAATCTATGTAGTAAAATATGTTACTCTTTTATATATATACATATATGTGTGTATATGTGTATATATATATACACACATATATACATACATACATACATACATATTATCTGAATTAGGCCTGGTCTTTTTTAATACTTTAAGTTCTGGGATACATGTGCAGAATGTACAGGTTTGTTACACAGGTATACACCTGCCATGGTTGTTTGCTGCACCCATCAACTCACCATCTACATTAGGTATTTCTCCTAACGTTATCCCTCTCCTTGCCTCCCACCTCCCGACAGGCCCTGGTGTGTGATATTCCCTTCCCTGTGCCCATATGTTCTCATTGGTCAACTCCCATTTATGAGTGAGAACATGCGGTGTTTGGTTTTCTGTTCTTGTGTTAGTTTGCGGAGAATGATGGTTTCCAGCTTCATCCATGTCCCTGCAAAGGACATGAACTCATTCTTTTTTATGGCTGCAAGAAATGCAAATCAAAACCACAATGAGATGCCATCTCACACCAGTTAGAATGGCAATCATTAAAAAGTCAGGAAACAATAGATGCTGGAGAGGATGTGGAGAAATAGGAATGCTTTTACACTGTTGGTGGGAGCGTACATTAGTTCAACCATTGTGGAAGACAGTGTGGTGTTTCCTCAAGGATCTAAAACTAGAAATACCATTTGACCCAGCAATCCCATTACTGGGTATATACCCAAACGATTGTAAGTCATTCTACTACAAAGACACATGCACAGGTATGTTTATTGCAGCACTATTCACAATAGGGAAGACTTGGAACCAACCCAAATGCCCGTCAATGTTAGACTAGATAAAATGTGGCACATAGACCTGGTCTTAAAATCAAGAACAGAGATTGTTACTTTTACATCCATTCCTAATTGATAAACCATTCAGTTATACCACATCTTAGCTTCTGGACTACAATGACCATATTTGGGGTTTTCTTTCTAATTTCATTATAGGTTCAGAGGGTACATGTGCAGGTTTGAGACAAAGGTATATTGCATGATACTAAGGTTTGGAGTACAAATGATTCCACCTCCCAGGTAGCAAGAATAATACCCAATATGTAGTTTTTCAACTCTTTCCCCTCTTCCTCCATCCTCCCTCTGCTACTCTGTGGTGTCTGTTTTTCTCATCTTTATGTCCATGTGTACTCGATGTTTAGCTCCCCCTTGTTAGGTGAGAACATGTGGTATTTGGTTTTCTGTTTCAGTGTTAATTCACTTAGGATAATGGCCTCCAACTGCATTCATGCTGCTGCAAAGGATGTGACTTTCTTCTTATTAGCTGCATATATTTTGTGGTGGATTTGTACCACATTTACTTTATCTAGTCCAAAGTTGTTGGGCACCCAGGTGGATTCCATGTCTTTGCTATTGTGAATAGCACTGGGACAACCCATACAAGTTCATGTGTCTTTTTGGTAAAACAATGTATTTTCCTTTGGGCATATATGCGGTGATGGAATTGCTGGATCGAGTGGTAGTTTAACTCTTAGTTCTTTGAGAAATCCCCAGACTGTTCTCCACAGTGGCTGGACTAAGTTGCATTCCCACCAGCAGTGTAGAAGTGTTCCCCATTCTCTGTAGCCTCACCAGCACATGTTAAACTATCTTTAAATATATGAAAAAAATGTTCAAGTCTCTCAGATTAAGATGCATGCAAAGTAAAATGATACTTAAATATCAGTTCTAACCTATAAAATATCAAATATCTGACCTCAATATTTGATAATCCAACCTGTTGATGAAGCTGTAGAGAGAGGCACCCTTTTTTTTTTTTTTAATTATACTTTAAGTTTTAGGGTACATGTGCACCTTGTGCAGGTTAGTTACATATGTATACATGTGCCATGCTGGTGCGCTGAACCCACTAACTCGTCATCTAGCATTAGGTATATCTCCCAATGCTATCCCTCCCCCCTCCCCCCACCCCACAACAGTCCCCAGAGTGTGATATTCCCCTTCCTGTGTCCATGTGATCTCATTGTTCACTTCCCACCTATGAGTGAGAATATGCGGTGTTTGGTTTTTTGTTCTTGCGATAGTTTACTGAGAATGATGATTTCCAGTTTCATCCATGTCCCTACAAAGGACATGAACTCATCATTTTTTATGGCTGCATAGTATTCCATGGTGTATATGTGCCACATTTTCTTAATCCAGTCTATCATTGTTGGACATTTGGGTTGGTTCCAAGTCTTTGCTATTGTGAATAATGCCGCAATAAACATACGTGTGCATGTGTCTTTATAGCAGCATGATTTATAGTCCTTTGGGTATATACCCAGTAATGGGATGGCTGGGTCAAATGGTATTTCCAGTTCGAGATCCCTGAGGAATCGCCACACTGACTTCCACAATGGTTGAACTAGTTTACAGTCCCACCAACAGTGTAAAAGTGTTCCTATTTCTCCACATCCTCTCCAGCACCTGTTGTTTCCTGACTTTTTAATGATTGCCATTCTAACTGGTGTGAGATGATATCTCATTGTGGTTTTGATTTGCATTTCTCTGATGGCCAGTGATGATGAGCATTTTTTCATGTGTTTTTTGGCTGCATAGATGTCTTCTTTTGAGAAGTGTCTGTTCATGTCCTTCGCCCACTTGTTGATGGGGTTGTTTGTTTTTTTCTTGTAAATTTGTTTGAGTTCATTGTAGATTCTGGATATTAGCCCTTTGTCAGATGAGTAGGTTGCAAAAATTTTCTCCCATTTTCTGGGTTGCCTGTTCACTCTGATGGTAGTTTCTTTTGCTGTGCAGAAGCTCTTTAGTTTAATTAGATCCCATTTGTCAATTTTGTCTTTTGTTGCCATTGCTTTTGTCCCACCGATCCCACAGAAATACAAACTACCATCAGAGAATACTACAAACACCTCTACGCAAATAAACTAGAAAATCTAGAAGAAATGGATAAATTCCTGGACACATACACTCTCCCAAGCCTAAACCAGGAAGAAGTTGAATCTCTGAATAGACCAATAACAGAAGCTGAAATTGTGGCAATAATCAATAGCTTACCAACCAAAAAGAGTCCAGGACCAGATGGATTCACAGCCGAATTCTACCAGAGGTACAAGGAGGAACTGGTACCATTCCTTCTGAAACTATTCCAATCAATAGAAAAAGAGGGAGTCCTCCCTAACTCATTTTATGAGGCCAGCATCATTCTGATACCAAAGCCAGGCAGAGACACAACAAAAAAAGAGAATTTTAGACCAATATCCTTGATGAACATTGATGCAAAAATCCTCAATAAAATACTGGCAAAACGAATCCAGCAGCACATCAAAAAGCTTATCCACCAAGATCAAGTGGGCTTCATCCCTGGGATGCAAGGCTGGTTCAATATACGCAAATCAATAAATGTAATCCAGCATATAAACAGAGCCAAAGACAAAAACCACATGATTATCTCAATAGATGCAGAAAAGGCCTTTGACAAAATTCAACAACCCTTCATGCTAAAAACTCTCAATAAATTAGGTATTGATGGGACGTATTTCAAAATAATAAGAGCTATCTATGACAAACCCACAGCCAATATCATACTGAATGGGCAAAAACTGGAAGCATTCCCTTTGAAAACTGGCACAAGACAGGGATGCCCTCTCTCACCACTCCTATTCAACATAGTGTTGGAAGTTCTGGCCAGGGCAATTAGGCAGGAGAAGGAAATAAAGGGTATTCAGTTAGGAAAAGAGGAAGTCAAATTGTCCCTGTTTGCAGACGACATGATTGTATATCTAGAAAACCCCATTGTCTCAGCCCAAAATCTTCCTAAGCTGATAAGCAACTTCAGCAAAGTCTCAGGATACAAAATCAATGTACAAAAATCACAAGCATTCTTATACACCAACAACAGACAAACAGAGAGCCAAACCATGAGTGAACTCCCATTCACAATTGTTTCAAAGAGAATAAAATACCTAGGAATCCAACTTACAAGGGACGTGAAGGACCTCTTCAAGGAGAACTACAAATCACTGCTCAAGGAAATAAAAGAGGATACAAAGAAATGGAAGAACATTCCATGCTCATGGGTAGGAAGAATCAATATCGTGAAAATGGCCATACTGCCCAAGGTAATTTACAGATTCAATGCCATCCCCATCAAGCTACCAATGACTTTCTTCACAGAATTGGAAAAAACTACTTTAAAGTTCATATGGAACCAAAAAAGAGCCTGCATTGCCAAGTCAATCCTAAGCCAAAAGAACAAAGCTGGAGGCATCACGCTACCTGACTTCAAACTATACGACAAGGCTACAGTAACCAAAACAGCATGGTACTGGTACCAAAACAGAGATATAGATCAATGGAACAGAACAGAGCCCTCAGAAATAATGCCGCATATCTACAACTATCTGATCTTTGACAAACCTGAGAAAAACAAGCAATGGGGAAAGGATTCCCTATTTAATAAATGGTGCTGGGAAAACTGGCTAGCCATATGTAGAAAGCTGAAACTGGATCCCTTCCTTACACCTTATACAAAAATCAATTCAAGATGGATTAAAGACTTAAACGTTAGACCTCAAACCATAAAAACCCTAGAAGAAAACCTAGGCTTTACCATTCAGGACATAGGCATGGGCAAGGACTTCATGTCTAAAACACCGAGAGAGGCACTCTTATGCATTGTTGGTGAGAATACAAAATGGTACAACTCTTGGCAATATCTTAAAAAATTTACATGGTACTGACTTTTGGTCTAGCAATCCTACTTCTATCCTAAAGATATATTGGCAAAAATACAAAATAATTGATGCACTCAAGTCTATTCATTGAAGCATTGTTTTTCATAGTAAACGGAAAGTAGGCCGGGCGTGGTGGCTCATGCCTGTGATCCCAGCATTTTGGGAGGCTGAGGCGGGCAGATCACTTGAGGCCAGGAATTCAAGACCAGCGTGGCTAACATGGCGAAACCCCATCTCTACCAAAAATACAAAAATTAGCTGGGCGTGGTGGTGCACACTTGTAATTCCAGCTACTTGAGAGGCTGAGGTGGGAGGATCGCTTGAACCTGGGAGGCAGAAGTTTCAGTGAGCCCAGAACGTGCCTCTGCACTCCAGCCAGGATGACAGAGCAAGACTCCATCTCAAAAAAAAAAAAAAAAAAAAAGGAAAATAACCAAATGACAATTAGTGAGTACTACTTGCAAAACTTGTACGCAATAGAGTATGAAGCAACTATAAAATGAGAGAGAAATATCTCCAAATACTACTCTAAAGTAATCTACAAGGTATACCTTAACTGAAAAGAAACAAAAAAGTGACACCAGAATGCTATTTTTATGTTAAAACAGGGATAAATACATTGGATTTACATGCATATATAAGTATATATTTTATAAATGTTTAAATAAGCATACTTAAAATGGCAAAAACGTAATACATATATAATTTTCTTATGGCAGGAGGAGGAAACAGGGCAAGGCACAGGGATAAAAGTTATTCTGAATACATCTTATTTTATATTTTTGACTTTGAAATCCTGTAGCTGTTTTATGTAATATAAAAATGTAATTAAATTAACAGAAAAAAATTACAACTGCTAAAAATCAAGATCTGGCATTTTAATTAAGTTATAAAACATCGGAGAAAAGAATTGTTTCATGGGACACTAACATACAGACAAATTCATTTGGAACCCAATGAATTAATGGGCCTAAGATAACAACCAATAGAAGCTAAAATGACGAATAACTGTTTCAGAAGAAAACATATATGGAATGAATCAGCTGAAAATACCTGAACCTACTGATCAATTTTTATATCACATGAAGTGAATACACATAAAGTATAATATGGAGCACATAGAACCAACTAGAAATGAGCCTAATTGTTAAATATTCTCTATTTTATGACAATATACAGGAAATATGTCGAAGAGAGAAACATGCAAGAACACCGTAGGGTTTAATAAGATAATCACAAGGTATGGAATATTCAACAGGATGAGTATCCTGGATTATTCAGCAAATACACAGAGCTAAAAAGCAGGAGAAAGGAATTCATATATATTTTTAAAAACTAAAAAGATATATTAGCTGATGCAACTTTGAAACTTCTTTAGATCCTGATTCAAATAGAGCAAATTTAACAAATATATTTGAAACTATTAAAATAATTTAAAAATGACCAAGTATTTGATTATATCAAATATAGACAATAATAACCTTGAATGTACATGGATTAAATGTCCACTTAGGGGCTGGGTGTGGTGGCTCATGACTATAATTCCAGCACTTTGGGAGGCCAAGGCAGAAGGATTGCTTGAGGTCAGAGGTTCAAGTGCAGCCTGGTCAACACAGTGAAACCCTATCTCTACAAAAAACAAACAAAAATAAAAAATTAACTAATTTTAAAAAATATATATTTCTTCTAAATTCTCCACCTGAAAGATATAGACTGACTGAATGAATTTTAACTATGATCTGACTATGTGCTTCCCTGAACAAATGCACTTTACCTGTAAAACACATATTAACTAAAAGAAAAGAGATGGAAAAAGGTATTCCATGAACAGAAACCAAAATGAGTAGGAGTAGCTATACTTCTGTCAGACAAAACAGACTTTAAGTCAAAACTAGCTTTAGAAAAAAGACAAAAATGCTTATTATACAACGATAAAGGAATCAATCCAGAAAGAGGATATAACAATTTTAAATATATATGCAGCCAACACTGGAGCAGCCAGATTCATAAAGCAAATACTACTAGATCAAAACAGAGAGGTAGACTCAAATATAATAATAGTGAAGGACTTCAACACCCCACTTTCAGCATTAAACAGATCATCTAATAAGAAAACCAATCTCGCAGCCCTCACCCTGGAGAGTCCACAGGTACCAGGGGTTGGTCTGAACCCCCAGCACAGAGCACCTGCCTCACAGAAGAGTGGCTGCATTTTTCTTCCTGCAGTTTTCAGTCCTCACTTCTCCTTACCAAGCAGGGCCACCTGGCCTGGGACTCCGGTACAACTACCCTGCCCCCCACCTGACGACTTCAATAAGAAGTAGCCCAGCATTTCTCCAAGGAGGAAATACCAGAGTCAATTCACAACCACTGCAATTGCAGTGGTACCACCATAACAGCCCTTGGGCTGCAGAAGGAACTAAGAGTCTAGTCACTACAGTGGCACCTTCAGCACACCACAGCCACCATACAGAGAGGAATCCAGCCCCCTCCCCTGGGAACCCCCACCACCCACTCCACCAGGCACAGCACCCAGCTCATAACTGCAGATCAGTTGCCCCACCCACAGCTGAGCTTACCTACTGGCAGTGGCCCAGACTTTCCCTAGGGAGAGGCTCCCAGAGGCAAACGGCAGCCTCTCTGCCCGTGTCACAGCAGCAGTTCTATCCATGCTGTCCTCAGGCTTGGAAAGAAACAAAGCGCCTGAAGGCTGCACCTGAACTTACAGCATGCCACAGTTCCCATATGGAGAGGAGACCAGTCTCTCCTCCCAGTGAGCCCTAAACCCCCTGATCCCCAACAAGCAGAGCCCTAACCTCACACCAGCAGTACAGCTGCCCCATCCCCCAGGCTGAACATTCCCAGTAATAGCAGCTCCACCTGGAGATGGAACCCCCAGGGTCAACTAAAAGCCCCTCTGCCACTGCCTCTACAGTGGTACTACCCCTGCTACCCTTGAACTAACAAAGGAGCAAAGACCCCAGTGCTTTATCCACACCTCCAACAAGCTGCAGTCGACCACAAAGAAGAAACACGTCTGTCTCCCATGGGTCCTACCCACACCCCCTGCTGTTCACCATGGATGATAGAGTCAACAGTGTGAAAACGACCATACTGCCAAAAGCAACCTACAAATTCAATGCAATTCCCATCAAAATACCACCATCATTCTTCACAGAACTAGAAAAAACAAGGCTAAAATTCACATGGAACCAAAAAAGAGCCCACATAGCCAAAGCAAGACTAAGCAAAAAGAATAAATCTAGAGGCATCACATTACTCGACTTCAAACTATACTATAAGGCCATAGTCACCAAAACAGCATGGTACTGGTATAAAAATAGGCATATAGACCAATGGAATAGAATAAAGAACCCAGAAATAAAGCCAAATACTTTCAGCCAACTGATCTTTGACAAAGCAAGCAAAAACATAAAGTGGGGAAAGGACACCCTATTCAACAAATGGTGCTGGTATAATTGGCAAGCCACATGTAGAAGAATGCAACTGGATCCTCATCTCTCACCTTATAAACAAATCAACTCAAGATGGTTCACAGACTTAAATCTAAGACCTGAAACCATAAAAATTCTAGAAGATAAGATTGGAAAAACCCTTCTAGACATTGGCTTAGGCAAAGACTTCACAATCAAGAACCCAAAAGCAAACACAACAAAACAAAGATAAATAGATGGGACTTAATTAAACTGAAAGCCTTCTGCACATCAAAATAAATAATCAGCAGAGTAAACAGACAACCCACAGAGTGGGAGAAAATCTTCACAAACTATGCATCCAACAGAGGACTAATATCCAGAATCTACAAAGAATTGGAACAAATCAGCAAGAAAAAAAACCAAACACAAGGATGACAGTGGAAATACAAAAACAAGACATAAATATTCTGAATAGTGATAATAAAACAGTGCATACCAGAATACAAACTGTTTCCAAGTTACAATGGTTCAACCATTTTTCAGCTTTATGGTGGTGTGAAAGTGATATCCATTCATTAGAAACCATGCTCCAGGATGGGCGCAGTGGGTCACGCCTGTAATCCTAGCACTTTGGGAGGCCGAGGAGGGCGGATCACAAGGTCAAGAGATCAAGACCATCCTGGCCAACATGGTGAAACCCCGTCTCTCCTAAAAATACAAAAATTAGCTGGGCATTGTGGTGCGTGCCTGTAATCCCAGCTATTCGGGAGGCTGAGGCAGGAGAATCACTTGAACCAGGGAGTCGGAGGTGTTGCAGTGAGCCGAGATCGTGCCACTGCCTCCAGCCTGGCAACAGAGTGAGACTCCATCTCAAAAAAAAGAAAGAAACCCTACTCCGAATTTTGAATTTTGATATTTTCCTGGACTACCAATATGTGGCACAATGCTCTCTCACAATGTTGTGCAACAGCGGTGAGCTGCAGCTTCCAGTCAGCTAAATGATAATAAAGGTAGATAATCCATCTTGATATCTTCCTGAAGAACATAATGCCTGCCTACCATCAACAGGCATCAATACTTTCTACCAGCTATTCTCAACCCTCATGATCGGAAGAGACAGAGACTGACTGTGTCAAAGTATTAGTCCCATCATTCAGCAATTAACTTTAGCTCAATGCTTCAAAAATTCTTCAGGCCCTGTGTAATTTCAGCTACGTACATTAATGATGAGTACCCATACAACCATTCTGTTTCTTATTTTCAGTACCATATTTAATAAATATCAGTTATTCAATACTTTATTTAGACATTTTGTTAGATTATTTTGACCAACTGAAGTCTAATCTAAATGTTCTGAGCATGTTCAAAGTAAGCTAGGCCAACCTATAATTTTCGGTGTGCTAAATGCATTTTTAACTTATGATATTTTCAGTTTACGGGGGTTTGTTGAGACATAACTTCATCATACATCAAGGAGCATCTGTATATGGGATATAGTTAAAGCAGTGATCAGAGGAAAATCTATAGCCTTAACACATTTATTAATAAAAGTGTAGGAATTAAATTATCAGCTGAAAAATGTAAAAAGTATCTAAAAGAGTAAGCAGAAAGTACAAGAAAGAACCCAAAGTAGAAAAAAGTGAAAATTAATAAAATAAGAAGCCAAAAAACAGATCAAATCAGTAAACCAAAAATCTTGTTCTTTAAACAAATCAACAAAGTTGACAAAAAAATTAGATCTTTTAATCATGAATAAAAAAAAGAGAAAGCACAAAAATGAATAAGGAATGGTGAGAGAAATAACTATTGATAATCAGCAAATAAAAAATCATTAAAAACAATGTTGTTCACATCTATGAAAAACATTGAAAGCTAGAGGGAATGGGTAATTTTCTAGAAAAATACAATTCACCACAACTGACTTCAAAAAAAAAAAAAAAAAAAAAGAAGTACCGCACTTATGTGAGCAATTTCCATAGAGAAATACAGTTGTCATGGAATTATAACACACACACAAACACTAGGTTTAGATGTTTTCACAGAGAATTCCACCAAACCTTTAGAAATCAGATCGTCCAAAGGCAAATTAACAACTCTCAGCCATTTGAGGCAAAATATTACAATTGAGGCAAGATATACTGTACTGAAAACTTGAGGAAAAAGCAGGAGAGAAAGTTCCTTTGGGAAATTCGAATACTCAAAAGTGCTTACATACAATGAAAAATTTGGAAATCCATAAGCATGGCCAAGGTGGGACACATGCTCAGAAAAGGCCTGAGAAGACACTAATAACTCACCTTTAGTAATTCCTAGGCTCACAGCAAGAAAAAATGAAGGCTAAGGCAGAATTATATATGGCTCCGCTAAGTGTTGAGGGAGCCCCAATACAGAGTCAGTAAGCAAAGTCTGGGAGAAGTTTTTCATATTTTTTTCTTTCTTGGCTCCTTGCAGTCAAGGAAATCATTTTTAAATCACTAAATGCTAAATGAACACAAGCTAAAGGAACCGAGCCTTCAAACATCAAATATAAAAAAGAATGCAGATATTACAAAACCAGTTTACAAAAGTTACTAAACAAATAAAAACTACATCCCACAGTGGGTAACAAAAATAACCTTGAAGAAGGGAAAAATTTGGTTTCCAGAATAAACACATTATAATATCCAAAATGTCCAGTTTTCAACAAAAATTAAGAAGCATGCAAATAAACACAAAACTATGGCCCATTTACAGAAGAAATAAATGAGACTCTCCCTGAGTAAGCAGATATTGAAAATATTAGACAAAAACTTTATATAACTGTCTTAAATAAACTTAAAGAGCTAAAGAAACCCAAGAGAATGACATATAAATAAATAAGAAATATGAATTTTTTTAAAGGTACAAAAAAATTCTGAGGCTGAAAAGTACAATAAGTAAAAAGTTACTTTTTACTTAGGGTTCCAATAGAAGATTTGAGCAGCTGGAAAAAAGAATCAGTGAACTTGATAGATCAAATGAAATGATTCAGTCTGAAGAGCAGGAAAATGAAAGAATGACAACAAAAAAGAATAGAGCCTAAAGACCTGTGTAACAACATCAAGAATGCCTACATACAGAATCCTGGTGGGGAGTGAGGGGCAGGAAGACTATTTGAAGAAATGTGTTTGAAAGCTTCCCAAATTTCACTAAAAACAAATATATACATTCAAAAAGCTCAGTGAACTTCATCAAGGAAATATACAAAGATATTCACACCAAGACACACTATGTTTCAAATTGTCAAAAGGCAAAGCGAATGTTTGAAAGCAGCAAGAGAAAGGCAACGCGTCATTTACAAAGGATCCTCAATAAGTTTGACAGCAGATAGTGCATTATAAGCCATGGATGCCAGAAGAGCTTAGGAAAAAGGCAACGCGTCATTTACAAAGGATCCTCAGTAAGTTTGACAGCAGAGAGCTCATTATAAACCATGGGTGCCAGAAGAGCTTAGGATGACATTTTAAAGTTCTGAAAGAAAAAAACACTGTCAACCAAAAATTCTATAACTTGGAAGATGCCCCTTCAAGTATTAAGGATAAATTACACATTCCCAGATTAAAAAAAAGAAAGAGAGAGAGAGAGAAAGAGAAAGAAAGAAAGAGAAAGAAAGAAAGAAAGAAAGAAAGAAAGAAAGAAAGAAAGAAGAGAAAGAAAGAAAGAAGAAAGAGAAAGAAAGAAAGAAAGAGAGAGAGAAAGAGAGAGAAAGAAAAAGAAGGAAAGAAAGAAAGAAAGAAAAAAGAAAGAAAAAGAAAGAAAGAAAGAAAGAAAGAAAGAAAGAAAGAAAGAAAGAAAGAAAGAAAGAAAGAAAGAAAAGCAAGCAAGCTTTAAAAGTTCATGTTTGGTAGGCTGTACTTCAAGATACACTTTTAAAAAAAAGACTCCTTCAGATACAAACTAAAAAACACTAGAAAGTAACTCAAAACCACATAAAGAAATAACTCCAGTAAAGATAACTACATAGGTAAATATAAAAGCAATTATCACATTTTTTGTAAGTCTTTTTTAATATTCTATATGTTTTAAAACAAATGTGTAAAATAATGACTATAAATCTATGTTAATGAAGCATGATGTATACAGATGTGGTTTGTGAAATTACCAACATAAAGAAATTCATAGGAAACTAAATAATAATAGAGATTTTGTATACTATTGAAGTTGTTTCAATTTACTCTAAATTGTTCCAAATTAAGAATGTTAATTGTAAATCCCCATGGTAACCACTAAGTTAATATCTTTTGAAAATACAGAAAAGGAAAGCACAGGGTAAACACAGTGATATGCTACAAAATAGCAACTAAACACAAAAGAAGGCGATAATTGAGGAAATTAGGAACAAAGGAGGTATAAGACATACAGAAAACAAAAGCAAAATGGTAGGAGTAAGCCCCTCTTTATCAGTAATTACATTAAATACAAATGAATTAAACTCTCCAATCCAAAGAAAGAGATTAACAGAATGGATTTTTTAAAAATGATCCAACTATATTGTCCACAAGATACTCACTTTAGATCAAAATACACAATGAGTTGAAATGAAAGGATGGGAGAAAATATTCCATGTAAGTAATAACCAAAGGAGATCTGAGGCAAATATACTTATATCAGACAAAATAGACTTTAAGTCAAAAACTGTTACAAAATACAAAGAACAGTATATATTGATTTCAAAATTAATTAAGAAGATATAACAATTATAAATATATGTACACCAACTAACAGGGCTCCAAAATATATAATGTAACCATTGAGAGAATTAAAGGGAGAGACAGACAATTCCACGAAAATTGTTGGGCATTTGAAAACCCAACTTTAAATAAAAGATAAAACATCTAGAGCAAATATCAAGGGAGGAATTAGAGGATTTGAATAAAACTATAAGCAATAACTATAGATAACACTTCTCTCAAAAACTGCAGAGTACACATTCTTCTCAAGTGAACATGGAACATTCTCCAGCACAGATGATATGTTAGGCCATAAGATAAGCTCAATAAACTTAAAAAGATTGAAATCATGCAAAGTATCTTCACTGGCCACAATGGAATGAAATAAGATATCAATAACAAAAGAAAAACTAGAAAATTTACAAATATTTGGAAATTAAACAACACAGTATTTACCAACCAATGAATCAAAGAACAAATCATGAGGGAAATTAGAAAATGTTTAGAGACGATTGAAAACAAATATATAACAAGATGGGTGTGATATATCAAAAGCAGTGCTCAGAGTTGTAACACCTACATTTTAAAAAAGAAACATGTCAAATCAATAACCAAACTTTACTCAATAAACCGTAAAAGGAAGAGCAAACAAAATCCAGAGCTAGCAGAAGGAAGGAAATGAAGATTAGAGCAGAGATAAATGAAATTGAGAATTAAAAAATTATACAGAGATCAACAAAATTAAAAGTTGGTTCTTTTAAAATATCAATAAAATTAATATACTTTTACATAGACTAAGCAAAACATCTCTATTCAGCTGACTTTTTTTACAAGGGAGCCAACATTATTCAGTGGGGAATAATAGCTTTTTCAACAAAAAGTGCTGGGAATACTGAATATTCATATGCAAAAAAAATGAAGCTGGACCCCTACCTCACATTATATACAAAATCTAGATTGGATCAATAATGTAAATATAAGAGTGAAAACCATACATGCTTAGAAGAAAACATGGAAATAAAACATTGCTGTGGATTGGCAATGCGTTCTTAGATAATACACCAAAAATACAAGCATGAAACAAACAAATGCAGCCAAAATGTACCAGAATCTGAAAACATCTATTATCTATGAAGAATTAGAGGGGAATTTGGTGAAAGAAATATGGGAGAATGGGACATTGCTCTGTGAATGCTTTTGTGCATAATTGTACATTTTTAATTAAGTTAATCTTTTACACTCTCAAAGTGTGATATTAAGCAAGCAAAGATAAGTTATTACAAGACTCTAAAACCGAATGCAATGAGAAACAAGTGAATCCAAATATATTTCAAATGAATGAATGACATAATCAAACTTAAGGGGAAAATAATAATTAATCTGATTAATTTTTGACTGTTCTTTTAGTTCAAATTGACTTTTGAACATACTTGGACTACATACCATTGCTTGAAAAAATAAAATATCTGCAAAAAATTATTAAATCTTCATGATAGGCTTTTTTCTTTTTATATTAGTATAAATATAACAATTCTGAAACAAATGTATGTGCATTGTAAGATTAAGCCAATGAGTAAATATTAATATATTTGTATTGCTAGAACCCCAGATTCTCACTGTGAAAGGACAGAGATACAGATATGGAATAAGACAAGGAAAGAAGCAGCCCACTGAGTTACATTAGAATCAGTATTATCAACATAAATATGCAATGTGCTCTCTCACATGCTCTTTCCTTCTCTTAAAAAAATATAATATGGACATATTATATATTATATGCATAGACACACGTGTGTCTATACATATCCTATCTATACATATTGAGGATTAACAGGTGCTAGTAGAAAATATTAACTTTCTTTGTATTAACAGGTGTTAGTAGAAAGTAGTAGTAGGTGCTAAGATAAAAGCCATAATTAAACCTCCTGGTGAATGAACACACCATCACCTACAATCTTACCAAAAATAGAATCAAGCACGTGTCCTAGTCAAACCTCTGGATTCAACTGTCATTTGGATAAAACGCAAAGGATAGTGAAAATGTCGATCTTCACTGAGAGTCTAACCAGCAAATTTCACAGTGTGGACATCAAGTGACAAAAATCCCAAATTTTTCAACAAATATATTGTATGGGAAAGAAAACTTTGAAAAGAAACCTGTATGTTAGAAGAGATTTTAAAAACATGACAAATGAAAAAAAATGGGCAAGACTAAAACTTTTAAAAAAGTTTGAGACAGGGTCTCACTCTGTCACCCAGGCTGGAGTGCAGTGGTGTGACCATGGCTCACTGTGGCCTCAACCTCCTGGCTCAAGTGATCCTACCACCTCAGTCTTCCATGTAGCTGGGACTACAGCTGCGTGCCACCACATCTGGCTCATTTTTTTTTCTTTTTTAAGTAGAGACGGGGACTTGCTATGTTGCCCAGGCTAGTCTCAAACTCCTAAGCACAAGCGATCCTCCCGCCTCGGCCCCTGAAAGTGCTGGGATTGCAGGCATGAGCCACCACACCCGGCCAAAAGTTGCTTTTGAGGAGTTATTGCTGTGTGGATGTGATATAACCCTTTCTGTCATCTCTTCACAAAACTTTCTGTAAAACATAAAAATCACCTGGACCTTCAGAGATGAGTTTGTTTATTTTTTTATTTTTTAAAAAATTGCTAATTTACAGAACATGGAGATGAGTATGTTTTGAAGGCTTGGAAGCATGCAAGTGGGAGAAGAAAGGAGTCAGCTACATTCTGGCTGTGTGCAGAGGCAGGTCACTGTGGTGGGAGTGTTCCTGTTTCATGGACTCTGCAAATCGCAATGCTTGGCATGGCCTCCCGACCCTGATGGCAGAGAAGCAAACACCAGTCGGAGAGCTGGGGTCCTCCCAGCCCTCTTGGCCCTGTGGCCAATTTTTTCTTCAATAGCCTCATAAAATCACATTATTTGAGTGCCCATGGCTCCAAAACAAGCAGGGATGCCCATGGACCCTGATTATCCATTGTCACCCTTCCCTCCAAACAGCCACCTCTCCCCTGGAGACAGCCCCATACTCCACTCAGACCTGTGCACTTTCTGGTATCCTTGTCACCTGCTTTTTATGTCTCATTTTACAAACACCAAATTGGAAGACAGCAGGAGCTGCCCCATAATACCAGTAAAGTGAGAAGCAGAGATAAACTAGTCCTAGACAGCCGACTCATGTTGGGGGCAGCCCACTCACAGTGGCCCTGACCCAACTCTGACTAGAGGCCACTTGCTCTCAACACCAGGGTGCTCAATGGCCCGTCCTGGTACTCTGCTCTTCTCTCTCCACCTTCGCTTTCCTGCAATCTATGCAGCCTGTGACTCCATCCATGGGCTAGTGACCCCCAGACCTTCTCCTGGGACCACAGGCCTGTGTCTCTATCTGCTGCTCAATACCTCCCCTCGAACATCCATGGCTAAAACTGAGCTCCTGATACTCTCTCCCTACCCGCTTCTCTGTGGATTCCCCACCTCCGCGAAGGACAGCTTCATCCTTTCAGCTACTCAGGCCAGAAGATTGAAGTCATCTCCTTCTCCAGGAAATCGTATTGAGGGAGCTACAAATATCCAAAATCCGATCGCTTCTCCTCCACTACACCCGAGGCCCGCCACCCATTTTTGCCTGAATTGCTGCAGCAGCCTCCTAACCGATCTCTGCTTTCACGTGGGCACCTCAGTTTTTTCCAGAACAACAACCAGAGAGATCTGCTCACACCCAAGTCAGACCAGGTTACTCCTCTGCTCTCATAGCATTTGGAGGAAAACCCAGAGTGCTCGTGTTGGCCGGCAGAGCCGGCCCCCATCTCCTCTGACCTCCTCCCCACCTCTTGCCCTCAGCACCCAGAGTGCTCGTGACGGCCAGCAGAGCCAGCCTCCATCTCCTCTGACCTCCCACCTCTCGCCCTCAGCACCCAGAGTGCTCGTGTTGGCCAGCAAAGCCGGCCCCCATCTCCTCTGACCTCCCACCTCTCGCCCTCTGCACCCAGAGTGCTCGTGACGGCCAGCAGAGCCGGCCCCCATCTCCTCTGACCTCCCACCTCTCTCCCTCAGCTAGTCCTCGAACATGTCTGATGTGGTCCCACCTTGGGACCCACATTGCTACTCCTCTGCCTGTAGGGGTACCCACAGTTATCCACACAGTTCACTCCTGTCTTTCAGGTCTTTGTGCAAATATCACCTTCTCAGTGGAGACTACACCTTCAGGACTTAGGCTGTGCCTGGCACATAGTAGGTGCTCAGTAGACACTGGTTGTAGGAAGGAATCTACAGGTTGAAATAAGGAGATCATTTCCCTGAGGTTCCGAAGCTCATATTTACTCACCATTTGTTGTTTACTGCTAATATTGAGCACTATCAGTAAAATACATAAAACCCTTTGCCAATCCAGGAAGTGAAAATGACACTTTACTGTTTTAGTTTGCATTTCTCTGCTTACAAATGGATTACACGCATTTTCATGTGCTGTTGGCTACTTATTCATTCAGAAAACATACTAAGTGCTGGCTCTTTTTCATGTCCTTTATCAAGTTTGGATCATGTCATTTGCTGTTTTCTTTCTGATGTAAACTCTCAAAGTTTGAAGGGTATTGTCTTTTCCTGACACATACGTTGTAAATAATTTTCTGGCTTACATTTTGACTTTTAATTTCATTCACGATGTTTTTAATGAATAATTTTAATTTTTATGAATGCAAGTTAAAATAATTCTTTCATTGTGGTTTCTGACATGTCATGCCAATAAGGGTCTTCTCCTCCAAGAGCACAGAAATATTTGCCAATACTGTCCTTAAAATCGGTCACAGTTTCATTTTTTATATATGCATTTTACTTCAATTGGGGCTTCATTTTACTGGCCCTATTTGAAGCAAGTTTCTCAGTTAATTCTTTTCTCAAAGTGCTAAGTATGGTAGATTGCAAACATAAGTGGCCACATAATACTCCCACCTCCTTTGCCTCCTCTCCCAGGAGGAGATAGCCTCCATCTTTCCACTCCTTAATCTGGGCTTGGCCAAGTGACTTACACTGGCCAATGGGATATTAACAAGTCTGATGTGCACAGAGGCTGTAGAATGTGCACTGGGGCTTGGTCTCTCTTGCTGCCCTGGAGACCAGCTGCCCCACGAAGGAAACAGAGCCAACCTGCTGCTTCCTGGGGGGAGACAGTCCCTCAGTCCCTCTGTCTCTGCCAATCAGTTAACCTGCTGCTTCCTGGAGGAAGACAGTCCCTCAGTCCCTCTGTCTCTGCCAACCAGTTAACCTGCTGCTTCCTGGAGGAAGACAGTCCCTCAGTCCCTCTGTCTCTGCCAACCAGTTAACCTGCTGCTTCATGGAGGAAGACAGTCCCTCAGTCCCTCTGTCTCTGCCAACCAGTTAACCTGCTGCTTCCTGGAGGAAGACAGTCCCTCTGTCCCTCTGTCTCTGCCAACCAGTTAACCTGCTGCTTCCTGGAGGAAGACAGTCCCTCTGTCCCTCTGTCTCTGCCAACCAGTTAACCTGCTGCTTCCTGGAGGAAGACAGTCACTCTGTCTCTGCCAACCCAGTTGACCGCAGACATGCAGGTCTGCTCAGGTAAGACCAGCACAGTCCCTGCCCTGTGAGCCAAACCAAATGGTCCAGCCACAGAATCGTGAGCAAATAAGTGATGCTTAAGTCACTAAGATTTGGGCAAAAGCTGAGCATTTATCCCAATCCCAATACTGTTTGTCCTTCTGTTTATCTGTCTGTCCTTCTCTGCTCATTTAAAATGCCCCCACTGCATCTAGTACATTTTTATAGGATCAGGGATCTGCTCTTGGATTTATGTCATGTTCCCACCTCGAGGCAGCTTTGTAAGCTTCTGAGCACTTCCCAATTCCGGGTGACTTCAGGCGCTGGGAGGCCTGTGCATCAGCTGCTGCTGTCTGTAGCTGAGTTCCTTCACCCCTCTGCTGTCCTCAGCTCCTTCGCCCCTGGGCCTCAGGAAATCAATGTCATGCTGACATCACTCTAGATCTAAAACTTGGGTTCTTGGACCAGGTGCGGTGGCTCACATCTGTAATCCCAGCAATTTGGGAGGCCGAGGCGGGTGGATCACAAGGTCAGGAGATCAAGACGATCCTGGCTAACACGGTGAAACCCCGTCTCTACTAAAAATACAAAAAAATTAGCCGGGTTTGGTGGCAGGTGCCTGTAGCCCCAGCTACTTGGGAGGCTGAAGCAGGAGAATGGCGTGAACCTGGGAGGTGGAGCTGGCAGTGAGCCAAGATCACGCCACTGCACTCCAGACTGGGAGAGAGAGCGAGACTTTCTCAAAAAAAAAAAAATCTTAGGTTCTTGGATGTTCGGGAAAGGGGGTTATTATCTAGAATCCTTGAAGCGCCCCCAAGGGCATCTTCTCAAAGTTGGATGTGTGCATTTTCCTGAGAGGAAAGCTTTCCCACATTATACAGCTTCTGAAAGGGTTGCTTGACCCACAGATGTGAAGCTGAGGCTGAAGGAGACTGATGTGGTTTCTCCTCAGTTTCTCTGTGTGGCACCAGGTGGCAGCAGAGGTCAGCAAGGCAAACCCGAGCCCAGGGATGCGGGGTGGGGGCAGGTACATCCTCTCTTGAGCTACAGCAGATTAACTCTGTTCTGTTTCATTGTGGTTGTTTAGTTTGCGTTTTTTTTTCTCCAACTTTGTGCTTCATCGGGAAAAGCTTTGGATCACAATTCCCAGTGCTGAAGAAAAGGCCAAACTCTGGAAAAAATTTGAATATTTTGAGCCAAATGTGAGGACCACAACCTGTGAGAACGGAAAATAAATCCTGGGACCCCAGACTCACTAAGCCAAAGGGAAAAGCCAAGCTGGGAACTGGCTTATGCAAACCTGCTTCCCATCTGGTTCCTAAATAAGATAGCTATTACACAAAGACAAAAAAGCTACATCCCTGCCTCTACCTCCATCGCATGCAAAATGTGTATTCAGTGAACGCTGACCAAAGACAGAAGAATGCAACCATTTGCCTCTGATTTACCCACACCCATTTTTTCCACTTCTTCCCCTTTCCCCAATACCCGCACTTTTCCCCTTTACTTACTGAGGTCCCCAGACAACCTTTGGGAAAAGCACGGACCACAGTTTTTCCTGTGGTTCTCTGTTCTTTTCTCAGGTGTGTCCTTAACCTTGCAAATAGATTTCTTGAAATGATTGAGACTCACCTTGGTTGTGTTCTTTGATTAGTGCCTGTGACGCAGCTTCAGGAGGTCCTGAGAACGTGTGCACAGTTTAGTCGGCAGAAACTTAGGGAAATGTAAGACCACCATCAGCACATAGGAGTTCTGCATTGGTTTGGTCTGCATTGGTTTGGTCTGGAAGGAGGAAAATTCAAAGTAATGGGGCTTACAGGTCATAGATAGATTCAAAGATTTTCTGATTGTCAATTGGTTGAAAGAATTATTATCTACAGACCTGCTATCAATAGAAAGGAGAGTCTGGGTTAAGATAAGAGACTGTGGAGACCGTGCATAGTTGCTTCCTGATCAGCTCTTTATTTGATTGAGAGTGAGGCAGGGAAGATTAGAGGGAAGCTTACAGTGGAATTCAGGGCTGAGGCTGCTATTCTTTTGCTCCTTGTAACTTCCTACAGTGTTGTCAGCATCCACATACTTCTCTGTGGGGTTGGTCTCAGAGCCAGGTTACCTTGTCTTAGGTCCAGTGGCACCCTGACTGGCTTGGTGTCCTTGAACAAGTTACCTAACCTCTCCAAACCTCAGTCCCTCAGTTGTAAAATTAAAAAAAAAAAAAAGAAGAAGAAGAGTACCTACTGTATAGCATTGATTTGAAGATTGAATGAGCTGGTATTATACAACGTTTAGAAGCAGTGCCTGACACGCAAAAGGCTCTCAACAAATACTATCCTTTACTAATATCCTGTGTGTCTGTATCAGAGCTGGTGGGGTGGAGGGACAGAAACAAGTGGGAGAAGGTAAAGAGATGGACAAATGATCTCTAAAGTCTCTCTGGCACTAACACAATTCTTTATTATGTGTTTTGTCTGGCTCTTTATATTGATAGCTGTTCCAGAGGCAATCAATAGCTATTAGTCGGTTTTATTCTTATTTTTCTGTCTGATCTTACAGGGGAGCAAACTGTGGCAAAGTATGAACTTACTTCTCAGGAAATTAACCATTATATTGGCAATCACTGTGATTATTTGAACTTCAGCGTCTGGACAAATTTAGTCACATGAAATACAGAAGAGAGATTTCTCATGGTTAAAACGAAGCTCTCTTTATTTGCTTCTGCTAATTAAAAAATCAGAGCTAAAGATACTTAAACACTACAGTTAAAATGCCATGGTTGTCTATTGGCTTAACGAATTCTCTTATGAAATCAACTCTAAAATGCTATCCATCATAAATCATGAAACGCAATTTTTCTTATTCTCTTTAGAGCTTTACAATTCATCTTAAAGACCAGTGTTTACACTCTCTTCTGTAGGTTGTACAATAACTTTTGGCGAGAAAAAATAAAAGTCTGGCTTTCTGACTCATAGGTGTGTTCCCTTTAACAGAAAAAGAAAATATGTCCTCTTTAAAACTGATGATCATTGGTCACCTCAATTTTATTGAAGTTCACTTCTGACCTCTTTAGATGTAGTTCTCTACATAAAACTGCCCAACAGAATTCTCTGTCTGAATGTCTCCTCCACAAACAAAATTTTAAGAACTAAAATTATCATCTTTCCTTCCAAATATGCTCTCCCTATGTCCCCAGGGCTCTCCATGTGTAGAGCTGAGACCATTTGCCACTCAGTTTCCTCACCCAATTAATTACAAGTCCCAACAATTTTCCGGTTTTTTTGTTTTTGTTTTTGTTTTTAGACGGAGTCTTGCTCTGTCACCAGGCTGGTGTGCGGTGGTGCAATCTCAGCTCACTGCAACCTCCGCTGCCTGTGTTCAAGCGATTCTCCTGCCTCAGCTTCCCAAGTAGCTGGGATTATAGGTGTGTGCCACTACATCCAGATAATTTTTGTATTTTTAGTAGAGAGGGGATTTCACCATATTGGCCCAGATGATCTCAATCTCTTGACCTCATGATCTGCCCACCTTGGCCTCCCAAAGTGCTGGGATTACAGGTGTGAGCCGCCATCCCTGGCCCAGTTTTGCCTTTTTAACATCCCTCAGCTCTTCAAATCCATTTTCTCTTCTCTAACACCTCCCCATTCCCCAGCTCGTAATGAACTCGTAAGTAGATTACTACAATCACCTCCCAAATGGTCTTCCTGGCTCCATCAGCCTTGTGACCTTCAAGTTCATTTTCCACATGGATGTCAGAGTAACTTTCTAAAATGAAAATCTGACCACGTTACTCTCTTGCCTAAATCCGCCTATGGCCGCTGTTAGGATCAAGTCTAAACTCCCGACCCTGGAACATCAGGTCTTCGTGCTCTGTTCACTGCTTCTCTACCTCACCTGCAACCAACACCACTCCCACATCCATATGCTGCTCACCGTGTATCAACATGAACAGGAGGTGGGTGTTTCAGTCCCCAGGAAGACACTGGGCCTTTTCAATCATCTACTGCTGTGTAATAACCACCCCGCAAACTGACCACATGATTTCATTTTGCAAGGGTTCCTTCCTTGGGCTGTGTTCAGCAAAAGGGTTTACTGAGCTGGCAGGTCCAAGATGGCCTCACTCACAGGACTGGCTGTTGATGGGAGCCTTGATGCTCTTGGGCTCACCCCTTATCCTCCAGTAGGTTAGAGCTTCTTACAGTGGTTTCAGGCAGCATCTGAAGACAGTAAAAGCAGAAGCTCCAAGGCTTCTTACATTCTAGCCTGGAAAATCACATCACATTGCTTCCTTCATATTTTTTTGGCAAATCAGGTTGCAAGGCTTGCCCAGATTAGGGTAAAGAGGCAAAGAGGCTCCTTTTCTTTTCTTTTCTTTTTTTTTTTTTTTTTTTTTTTGAGTCAGAATCTCGCTCTGTTGCCCAGGCTGGAGTGCAGTGGTGCAATCTAGGCTCACTGCAAGCTCTGCCTCCTGGGTTCACGTCATTCTCCTGCCTCAGGCTCCCAAGTAGCTGAGACTACAGGCACCTACCACCACGCCTGGCTAATTTTTTTTTATTTTTTATTTTTTAGTAGAGACTGTGTTTCACTGTGTTAGCCAGGATGGTCTCCATCTCCTGACCTCGTGATCCTTGCAAAGGGACATGCAGACCACATTAGTGAGAATATGTGCCTGTATTTTGCAATCTGTAACATGGGCATAAACTAAATGTTTTCCAAAGGGAATAGGGCAAAACAAAAAGGACCTTGACCACTCCTTGGCCCTGAATAAATCCAGGAAGCCTAAGAGTATGACTATCCTGAGGTAGAAAGAGGGTCACATGCTGGATAAGAGGTACCTGGGCTCTCCACTTACAAGAAGAGAGCATGGTTACATTTATAATCACCATTCCCAACATGCTGTGAGTGCAGGCAGCTACCAGGAGGAGAACAAAGGAAATAACCAGGACACTCATCTCTAAACCTGTTAATTTAATCACACGGAACACTTCTATTTAAAATTCCCGAGAGTTAAGATGTAAGAATGCTTATCAAGGTAAATGCTGTTCACACTGCTTGGAGTGTCAGGCCTAGATCTCTATCCATCAGAAACAACAATATCAATAACAACAACAGCAACATGATGATGGGGCAATTTCTTAAAAGCACCATGTATTTTATCGATACATGTCCGTTGCAGAAAATCCAGGTGAATCCAAAGAAGAAATAAATGTCTTCCACAATCCCATAGCCCAGAGCTAACTAACCACTATAAAGAACCCAGCGTGGTTTTAACTAATGGATCAAAAGATGCTCATCAAAGGCTCTGAGCTTTCCTGAGTGCTAACAGGAAACATCCAGCATCACTGGTCTCTCCAAGGCTGCAGGTGTCTTTGCCCATAGTGCCTGTTTTGTGTCAGGGAAAGAATCAACCTGGGAGCCAAGCCCAGGAATCAGGATGACCAAGACATACTGCACAAGGAGGGAACAAACCCATCCAAGGACACTCAAGGACAAATCAAGCAAATGAATTTAAGGGAGACGTGCTCATGGTCTGCTTTGCTGCTCAGCATGGCTGGGAGGCACAGTGGAAGATCATGCATCCTGCCCCTGGGACTCCTCTGCCAGAGCCTGAGAGCTTTCTCCTGCCCACAGGCTAGGGGTAGGGCAGTTGGAATTGATCCATGCCTTCTAGCTAGACTGTGGGTCCCCTCAGTCTTGGGCATGGTGACAGCCCAGCATCAGACAGAGGTCAGTATCAAACTAGAAAATTTAATAAATACTGTCAGATTTGTAGACCCAAGAAAATATAAACTGCCAATCACGGAGGAAAAAAATCTCTCAATGATCTTATCTTTATATGATTCCCTTGCTGCCTGGAGATTGACATTTCCTTGGGGATAATCTGGTCATAGGATTGGTGAAGGTGGAAGGGAGGCAACCTCCAAAGGTGGGGCCCTCTGCTCACCTGGGACAGGGAGGGCCTGAGGTAGGTGTCTGTGTGGGCTGGGGAGGAGGATGGGAGCAGTGCTTCTAGATGTTTCCACTTTCTCCTCATTAGATAATAACGAATGGGTGATTTCCCTAGTCACTGCAGTGTGAGGAAATCTACAAAATTAATTTCACAATACGCTTTACAGGATAGGTGGAGAAACACATGAAGTACAACTGCAGTGGGTTATAAAAAACGGCCTTTCGAGTTGAGCAATAAATTCGTTCAAGCAGCCATTCTGAAGGACAAACTGGCTCTGTATTTAAGAGGGGCATTCCAGCACTTCTCTAGCCACTGGGTTGACAATGACTCACCAAAGCCTCTGGTAGCCACCACAGGACACCCAGAGCATATGTTTTAAAGCTGAACACCAAACTGCGGACTTCGGGAGTAAGTGAACTGACTGGTTTTTATTTTGTTTTACTGCTTTTAACATTACAGTAACTGTTACAGGTTCCAGCAGGCTAACTGGGTGGAAATGAGTTTGGTTTCACTTAGTCTCTCTAAAGAGAAAGCAAGTCGGTAGACTAATACCTAATAAAAGCAAAGCTGCCAACAATTGAAATTGCCTAGGCTGCTCTGTGTGTCCCACATGCATGGGTGTGGGTGCCAGTGTGTGTGCGTGTGTGCATGCATGTGCATGTGTGTTGGGATAGAGTGGTAAGAAAATGGGAAATAATAAGAATGTTCAGTCCATAGCCCTTCATTATAAAAAGGTGAGCTGTAATAAATACTAGTGCCACATTTAGCCAAAACTTTACTCCAGCCAAAGGTGATATTTTCATGATAACATCCTGTGATTGCTTTGTTCTTCGTCTTTTATGTTCTTCCTAGATGGGCTCAGAACATACAAGAATTAAGTACACATCTTATTTTCCAGTGATAATGCTACCGGCAAATTCTGTTGTTTGTATAAACATCAGCCATGTTTATATAACTAAACTAGTGTTTTGTTTTGTCAATTCAGCAAGAAATTAGACCAAATGGTGGCTTAATGCTGCATTGATTTGGCTATCAATTTGTTTTCACTTTTCTGCAAAATAATTAATACATTATTAAATTGAATTGTGCTGATGCCACAGTTGTTCTTATCTCAAGTGTCTTAAAATTCATTTAATTTGTTTTTCCTTTGGTTTCATTATTCAAATTTTAACTTCAGTTCTCAAGATTTTATCTGATGGAAGAGATGGAGTCCATTACTAAGGACTCCATTGTGCTCCATCATGCCAGAGTTGTAAAATAGATCTTTTAAAGGAAATTTACTGTGATTTTTTTTCTATTTAAGAGCTTCCTCTCCAGTTGAGCATGTAAGAAAATTATACCAGGAGAATACAGTAAACTCTATGAGGCAAGCTATAAACATGTAGCATTGTGATTAGGGCTGGTTCTCCTTCTAGAGACATGGTAGGATTGCAATTTCATACCATCCTTGAAGTTAGAGAGAGCCACGTGACTCATTTAGCCAATGAACTGTGAGCAGAATGACATGTCACTTCCAGCTGAAGCTTTAACAATCTGAGAGACATTCATACATTTTCCATGTGCTGTAGCCTTATACCCAAAGCCTGGGTCCCAAGTGACCATGACAGGCAGAGCTCCCTGTTGAGCCACAGAGATTTAGAGAATGGCTGTTAACACAGCATAATCCAGCCCATCCTGACTAATCTGATATTAACATGTATAATAAAGAATTCTATCAATGCTGAGGGAAGATGACTAGTTAAGGTCCTAGGTTGCAAGTCTCAAAACCTCTTCTAAGGATTGTAGACAGGAAATTAAATGACTTCTAGTCCCTAGAGTTCCCAATCTCCTACCATCCCATCCTAATATGACAGAAGTAATTCCTGAGTTGCTTCTGAAACCAGAGCTTCCCTCAGAACCCTTAGCCTGCCAGATGGCTTCTTGGAGAGCCCTCACTCACTTTTCTCCTTCTGCTATTGCTGCTCATTCATTCCAGTTTTTAAAAATTCATCTTTATCCAGGAACCTCGCTTCTAGAAAAGTCATACAGGTGCTTCCAGGAGGCTACATGGGCACCCATATTTTTCTAGCCACTTTCATTAGACCAATGCAGCAGAGAAGAAAAGCCTCAATAATTATTATGACATGGCATGTTAGGATACCAAGTAAATTGCATTTGTAAAATGTGATTTTCTGTTGGTGTTCACTTCAGCTCTACTGACATTTGGTAAGTATTATTGACTGACTGACTAACTAATGTGGTCATTAGTCTTCATAAAGAAAGGCTCTCTACAAAAACGGAGGGATGCCCTTTTTCTGGCATTTAATACGTAAGAAATTGCCTCCAATAGAAACCAGAGTTGCCTGATTACTATCAGCACAGGAGAAATGTATTAATGTGCCTTTCTAGTAACAGGTTTTTAGAAAGTCAAATATAAACAAATCTGTCTATTTGTGTGTGTGCATGTGGTAGTGGGGAGGGAAGAAAAAAGGAGGGGGAGAGAAAGAGAAATAAGAACCAAGTTTATTATACTGTATTCAGGGGGAAAAAATTTTCCCAAGGTCCTAACAGAAGAGCAAAGTGCCACTGTCAATAGCCTCAGTAGTGTTAGGGTTGCTTTTATTTATTTATTTATTTATTTATTTATTTATTTATTTATTTTTCCTTTTTTTTCTTTCTCTTTTTTTCTTCTTTTTTTTTTCTTTTCTTTCTTTTTTTTTTTTTTTTTTTTTTTTGGACAGAGTCTCACACTGTCACCTGGGCTGGAGTGCATTGGTGCAATCTCGACTCACTGCAACTTCTGCCTCCCAGGTTCAAGTGATTCTCCTGCCTCAGCCGCCCAAGTAGCTGGGATTACAGGTGTCTGCCACCGTGCCTAGCTAATTTTTTTGTATTTTTAGTAGAGATGAGGTTTCACTATGTTGGCCAGGCTGGTCTCAAACTCCTGACCTCATGATCCACCCACGTTGGCCTCCCAAAGTGCTGGGATTACAGGCGTGAGCCACCGCCCCTGGCCAGGATTGCTTTTACAGCCAGTCTTCAGGTGCCCACTGTAGGAACAATGTCATTTAACCCTCGGGATTATTCTGTGCCAAATATGGATAATGACTAATATCCAACACAGATATTCTCAGCTCAGAAGAGCAATTAGCAAATTCATAAATTAAGTGCTTGCTTCCTCTTTAGTCAAATACAAACGTTTGTTAAAAGATATTATTTTGCTTTACACTTTTTCTCTCAGAAATAAGCAGATGCTTGAATTCCCACAGTGCTGCTTGAGCCTCACACCATGTCATCCTGCCAGGCACCCAGATCCAGTTCTAGAGTTTCACATGATCGTGAGTGTTGGTTAATAAGTCAATGTGAACTGGGAGGGGAGATTTTTCAGGAGTGCCACAGGGCTCTCCCTTTAATCACATACACTCCCTGCTTTCATTGGAAAGTGTATAATGATGTCAGAGTGCCCCAGAATGGAGCTAGTTGGAAGACTGCCGTCATAGGGATGCCTTAGTGAATTAATAAGGTTTTAATTTCTGGCTCTCAACTTTGTAGATGTAAAAGTTGATTTATCAATATGTGAGAAAGGATGAATCTTTCTGAAGGTTATGTCATCACACTCACTAAGCACACAGAGAATAATGTCTAGAATCTGAGTGCCATGTTATCAAATTGTACTGAGACTCTTGCAGTCACACAGGCTGACATGTAAGCATCGCCATGCCTAGTACAGACTCTCCCTGCAGATGAAATTATATGGGATGCTAAATTATAATGAGAACAATGTTTGGTGAGCCAAAACTACAACAAGGGAAGCTAATTGGATGAATTTATAAAAATATGCCTCAGCCAAAATAGCTTAATTCACTCTCCCTTATCATAAGGATAATCTTGCCTAAAGGGACAGTAATATTAAAGACACTAGGAATAACCTCTGTACTTTGGACAGTAGACCTGCATAGCCCATTAGGCCTCAATGAAGTCTTATGCAAGACCAGAAGCCAATTTGCCATTTAAGGTGATTCTCCATGTTTCTGCTCTAACTGTGCTTCACAATACTCAAAACACTAAATCAGGATGTTTCCTGGAGTTCAGGGAGCTGTCCGTGTTACTGAGCAGTTCTCAGCAACACAAAGATCCTACTGACTCCTCATCAGACTTCTTTCTCACTGGAATTTTACACCTGGGCTGTTAACACCAGGCCAGGTCAAATTCAAAGGAGAGAAAAAAGCTCATTATGAAGGGTAAAATCCAAAACACTGTGCATAAAGATATGGCACAATTTTTATACATAAAGATTTCATAAAACCAAAGCATCAGGAAATGAAAAGAGATACAGAAAGAAAAATGATGGTAAATGAGACATTAATTTACCCTTCTAATCTCTATCACAGCAAAAAGATAATTAAAAAATCTATATGAGGACCACAAAATACACAAAAATTATGTAGCAAAGCCTATAGCCTGAAAAAGTAAACATTGAAATTTGTATGTCCATAAAATGTTTACAAAATTCAGTACATATTACACACCCCACCCTAAAAACATCTAAGCAAAGTAGAGAATGTAGAAATGCTACAGATTATATTCTCTGATTATGACACAACAAAACTAGAAATTACAGCATGGAAATTTAAAAGCTTTCTCTTAAATAATTCTATGTCAAAAAGAAATCCAGGCCGGGTACAGTGGCTCATGCCTGTAATTCCAGTACTTTGGGAGGCCAAGGTGGGCAGGTCACTTGAGGTCAGCAGTTCAAGACCAGCCTCGTCAACATGGTAACACCCTGTCTCTACTAAAAATACAAAAATTAGCTGGGCCTGGTGGCTCATGCCTGTAATCCCAGCTACTTAGGAGGCTGAGGCAGGAGAATTCCTTGAACCCAGAAGGTGGAGGTTGCAGTGAGCTGAGATTGCACCACTGCACTCCAGCCTAGGTGACACAGCAAGACTCTGTCAAAAAAAAAAAAAGAAATCCAAATAAAATTTCCAGAATATGTGGAAAATAGTGACAATAAAAATATTACACATGTGTAATCCCAGCATTTTGAGATGCCAAGGTGGCAGGATCACTTGAGACCAGGAGTTCGCAACCAGCCTGGACAACATAGGGAGACTCCATCTCCACACACGCCAAAAAAAATTTTAAATAGCCAGGTATAGTGGTACTTCCTGTAATCCCATCTACTTGGGAGGCTAAGGTGGGAGAATCACCCAACCTCAGGAGTTCAGGGCTTCAGCAAGCCATGATCATATCACTGCACTCCAGCCTCAGCAACAGAGCAAGATCCTATCTCAAAAAAAAAAAAAAAATCACATGTGGGAAATAGCTATAGCACAATAAAAATAAATGTATTAAGTATGAACAACAAAAAAGCTAGTAAAGGTTGAACAACAACTATCCTTAGGAAAGTGGAAATAATGTATTAATAAATATGAAAGCAGGCTAGCCACGGTGACTCACATCTGTAATCCCAGCACTTTGGGAGGCTGAGGCAGGCAGATCACCTGAGGTCAGGAGTTCCAGACCAGCCTGGCCAACATGGTGAAATCTTGTCTCTCCTACAAATACAAAAACTAGCCAGGCTTGGTTGTGCACTCCTGTAATTCGAGCTACTTGGGAGGCTGAGGCAGGAGAATCTCTTGAACCTGAGAGGCAGAGGTTGCAGTGAGCCAAGATCATGCCACTGCACTCCAGCTGGGGCAACAGAGTGACACTCCATCTCAAAATAAATAAATAAGAAAGCAGAAACTAATAAACTAGAAAACAGAAACATAGAACTAATTTATAAATCAAAGCACTATGCCTTGAAAAGAGGGAGAAAAATTGTGAATTAAGGAAGGGAAGAGATGGTTGGAGAGGAGGTGGGAGAAGGCAGAGATAATTGAAGGAGCAAAAGCATCTGGAGAAGCAAAGCCACTGAAAGATGAACAGGGCTCTGAAAGAGATGCTTGACTGCTATCTTTTCAAATGACTGCAGTTCCCAGTGACATCATTTTTCTCCTCCCTGGAAGTCTGAGGGGCAGTTCACTTATCTCCTCCCCTCCCCTACTCCTCACCCCACACTCAAAACCTGTCTATGCTCCTTTCATTCTCATATGACAGATTTCAGATGGCATTCTTATTTCCCTGATTTCTTTTTGAGATAGCTTGCATTTCCCTCCTCTATATAAAGCCACCGTTTATCAAATGCCTACATGGACCAAGCAGTCCACAAGGGCTTCACAGACAGTTTTACTAAACTCATGCCAAAACTTTCAGGTTTTATACCTACCTTATAGATAAAGAAATTGAAGCTTATAGAGTTTAAGTAATGTTCCCAAAGCCTCGTGGCTAGTAATTCAAACCTAATTTCTGCCTACTCCAAAGTCTATTTTTCCTTATGATACTCTACTGCCTCTCCATGGATAAAGACAGAGATCACATATTAATAAAATTTGCACAAAGTCGGCAAATTGTTGAAAGGGAAGGCTAAGATGATTAATAAAATCAAGAGCCAGATGATCTCAACAACCTGAAATAACTGGCTGACAACCAATTTGAATAACTCCCTGCGGGTGAAGTTCAAAGTACTATTTGGGTTTTTTTTTAAAGTTTGGCTGGGTGCAGCGGCTCACGCCTGTAATCCAAGCACTTAGGGAAGCCAAGGTGGGCAGATCATGAAGTCAGGAGTTGAAGACCAGCCCGGTCAACATGGTGAAACCCCATCTCTACTAAAAATAAAAAATTAGCCGGGCCTGCTGGTGGATGCCTGTAGTCCCAGCTACTCGGGAGGCTAAGGCAGGAGAATCGCTTGAACCCAGGAGGTGGAGGTTGCAGGGAGCCGAGATCGCACCACTGCACTCCAGCCTGGGCGACAGAGCGAGATTCCGTCTCAAAAAGTAAAATAAAATAAAATAAAAAATAAAAGTTTGATATATTCAGAATCAGGGAGGTCTGTTGGGTGCAGTTCATTTGAAAAATTCCTCAGCATTTTAGTGATCTGTATGGTCCCTCTATCTGTCAGGGTCCTAGCAGGAAATTGTTGCACTCTCAAAGGATTAAGCAGAAAGAGTTTAATGAAGGGTCTCTTTCCAGGGTTAAGGGAACTGCTAGGGTTTGGATATTTGACCACTCCAAACTCATGTTGAAATGTGATCCCCATTGTTGGAGGTGGGGCCTAATGGGAGGTGTTTTGGTCCTGAGTGTGGACCTCTCACGAATGTCTTGGTGCCATCCAAGTGAGTTCTTGCTCGCTCTTTTTTTTCTTTTTGAGATGTAGTTTCACTCTTGCTGCCCAGGTTGGAATGTAGTGGTGCGATCTTGGCTCACTGCAACATCCACCTCACGGGTTCAACCCATTCTCCTGTGTCAGCCTCCAGAGTAGCTAGGATTACAGGTGCCCACCACTATGCCCAGCTAATTTTTGGTATTTTTAGTAGAGACGGGGTTTCACCATGTTGGCCAGGCTGGTCTCAAACTCCTGACCTCAGGTGATACACCTGCCTCGGCCTCCCAAAGTGCTGGGATTACAGGTGTGAGCCACCATGCCTACCTAGTTCTAGCTCTCTTAATTCCCACAAGAGCTGGTTGTTAACAAGAGCCTGGCACAAACCCCTCTCTCTCGCCACGTGATCTCTGCACATGCCAGCTTCCCTTCCCCTTCTGCCATGAGTGGAAACAGCCTAACGCCCTCACCAGAAGCAAATGGTGGCACCATGCTTCTTGCACACCTTCAGAACTGTGAGCCAAATAAACCTCTCTTCTTTAAAATTATTCAGCCTCTGGTATTCCTTTATAACAACACACACACACACACACACACACATACACACACACGCAAAAGCAGACTAAAACAGGAACTAATTAGAAATGGTGATGCACCGAGGGATTGGCACCGAGGCTCCCCAACAGGAACTGAGGTCATGGATAGAAGGACACATTCATGTTATTTTTTTCTAATGGTTAAGTAATTATTTGCTCTTACTCTCAAAATTTCTGCCAAGGCCTCCCATGGACCAAACTCAACTAGAATCTAGGAAGCAGAGAACCTGAGTGTTGCATTCAGCAGAAGTCAGCTTCCTAGGGAATCTTGCAGGAAGGGTGAAGGTAGAGAATCTGGTGGGGAAGCAAGCAAATGCCCATCACATGCACTTTCCTCCAACAGAGCGACTCAGATGCTATAAAACTTGCTAACACAGTCTCAGGGTCTGATCACAGTAACATACAATCCAGGTTTTAATCATCAGAAATCACAGTCCTATTGTCTTCTGCACAGACCCAAACACACTTGGAGGTCATGTTCAATATGAATACCTCACAGAGAAGGAAATTTACACGCGAGAAGTACATCTGCAGAAAGCCAGCTGGCATGTCAACCATTCAAAAACTCAGGGTGTTCTGGATAAAGAAGACTCAGGAAGACAAGTATGAAGCATAATCTGTGACATTCCATGCGGCAGACATTAGACACATACAAGAGAGTTGTTGGAAAGCGGAATTTATCTTCATATAAACAACACTGAGCTAAATCTCAATATTTCAGATCTCTAGAACTATCCATCAGTGAAATGGATTGCAAATACAAAGAGTAATACCATGTCACTTAAGAATAGAATCATGGACGAGGCTGCCACCTGCTGTTGGGGGCCACTGCAGAAGAAATTCCAGAACACTGGACTGGAGAGCACCTCACTTTCCTTACAGCTCTAAGTTTCTGACTCAGTGACCTGATTCACTACCATATACACAAAGACCCACTTACACAAATGACTGTTCTTCACACTAGGCCCATGGAGACAGGGATAAAATTCTGAATTTGCTCAGATACCTTCTCCGCTACTGACATCTAGGCATTACACAATTCATCTCTTCATATTTAACCTTTGAAGTTTGCTACTTCTCAGAGAGACTAATGAGTAGTGAGCAAATATCCTGAAGCTGAGAATGCTTCTACCTCCTCTCAAAACAACGGAATATTCATCAAAACACAGCAGTTCTGCACTTAACTTTAGGCCTTTTCTAACACCTTGTTTCTTGGCAGTAACTGTGGCCAGAATAGCTCTTTCCACAGATAAAGGACCTTTTGAAAGGATAGGGTCTCTAGATAGAAAAGCAAATGCCTCATTCCAGAAGGTCTTCAAGAAGAAAATGTTGTGGTGATAACAAACATAACTGATTATAATCTATTCTGTGAAAAAAGCTTATGAAACAGTAGATGTGTGTATCTAGTACATAAGAGCTGAATGTCAATATATATATAGATATATACACACACTCAAATAAATAATAGTTATCTCTAACTAGAGAAATTCTAGTTGCCTTATATTTTCTTCTTTTTCCTTACTATATTTTCTACAATAAACATGTGTTTTTAACAAGAAAAGTCTTTTCTGGTGTGCTTTTTAATTTTCTTTGTTTAAGTGAGAGTGAGGCTACATAACTACATGGCTAGGTAGACTTTTAGAAAACTTGGCTGCTCTAGAAAATTGACATATCCTGATTTCTTCCATAGCTTGGATCTTGACCTAGAGGGAAATATAAAAGTGTTGACTTGAACCTGAGGGGTGCCATTTTCACTGCTGAAGTAGTTTCATGGATCATGAATTGGAGAAATGACTTCAGCAACATGGGTGTTAAAATCAGAAAGCACAAGTGACCCACAACAGATGATGGAGAACAAAGAGCAAGCTGGGAAAGCAGTGGCCTTTAATACAGAAAAGAAGAAGTATAGCCACAATAAATATTAGGCAGACAGCAGTTCAGCAGTTTATACTATTAAGCTGTTGTTTAGGGGAATAGTAAACTGACATGACCCTTGAGGTAGGTATATATAGGTAAATTCTATGTGTCCCTTGAAATAGGTGTATGACACAACTTCTGGCATCTACATGGATTTGGTCACTCTAAAGTAGCCATGAGGCTTAAGATAGTTCAGCTGTTTGGGGATAAGTTAAATCATTTGCCATTGTCTTTCTGCAATTTGCATATCCTACAGTTATCATTGCCATTACTGAATGGCACAGAGAAAAATTCTGGTCTAAAGTGGTTCTCAAACCTGGTTGCTGGAGGGCCACCCTCAGTGATGATGATTTAATCTGTAGAAGAATAGAACATTGATAGTTTTTATATATCTCCAGGTAATTTTAATATATAACTGGGGTGAGAATCATTGACATAATTGTAACAGGATAATATTCAGGAAATATGGAGATAAATAATTTTCTTCTCGACATTAAAAAAATCTAATAAAAAGTTTTATGTTTTCCCCTAACTCAGGGTCATCAGCCTTCAAGCTTCAGTCTCTGTGTGTTCACAGGTGCTGTAAACACACGCATCACTACTAATATCCCACTTCAGTGCTATTGCTGCTCCCAAAACTCCAGGTATTTTTAACCTTATAAACCTCCAGAATAATGAGACCACTGGGTTCAGTAAATTGCTTTGTTTTGAAGCACTATTAGACAAAGTGGGAGACTAGAAGATAAATCTGTCAATGACATGTCCTTTAAGACTACTTAGATTTTGTTGAATTTGTGGATCATTCCTTACTTGAGCAAATGGTAAATTAACTCTCTCTTTTCTCTCTCTCTCTAGCTGGCACACTTTTTCCAGTAGCCATTCTACTTGGTATGCTTACTTATCAGCTGTCCTCCAGGGGCCTCACATTAGATGTTTCTCTGACTAACCAAACATGACACACAGCTGAAGTCAGAAAAACCAGATTGATAATTTCACTCAAACTATTTTCCTTCATTCTAACAATTTACTGGAGTACACAATTGTGACTATTTTTAGCCATAGGAACTCATAGAAAGACCAACTTCATTAGACCTACAAAATCGAATTGTGTAACAGTATATGCAGTATGTGTAGGAATAAAAAGCATTTCTCAAATATGCAGTACTGGATTTTGCAAAAGCACCTTACACTTAGCTATAAAGGAGTGGAAAACACAAAGATGAGTAACTGCACTTTTCAAAAGACTAGAGCTATACCAATAATACAAAGGTGTAAACAAATAATGATGAGATGACAAAGGCTGAGTGTTTTCTATTTGGAAGCTATGTTGTTGAGTTATTTATGTATATAATTTCATGCAATCTTCATGTTATGGGGATGTTCTAATCCACTGTGACTCTGTCCTTAAATAAAAGGGAGATTTGGACATAGAGAGAGGCACACGGGGAGGATGCCATATGAGAATTGACACTGTGCTGTCACAAGCCAAGGAACTACTGGAAGGAGAGAAAGAGGACTGGAACAGTTCCTTCCTTAGCACCTTTTCAGGCAGCCTAGCCCTGCCAGCTTCTTGATCTGGACTTCTCACCTCTAGAATTGTGAGGCAATAAATCTCTGTTGCTTAAGTTACCCAGTTTGTGGTACCTTATTACAGGAGCCCTAGGAAAATAATTCATTATATAATCTGCTAAGGTAGATATGATCATTGTCTCCAATTTCCATATGAAGAAACTATGCCTCAGGCATTGTGTCAGTTGTCCAAAATCATACATTCCTGACTCACTTCAATGAATTCTTCATTCAGCAAAATTTTTAAGGTACCTTAAAAAAATTATGTTAACTCTTAGGGCCTTGCTTTAAAGCTTCAATGGGCTTTTCCTTTGCAAAGAATAAAATCCTAATACTTAAGCATAGCTCTCTTTCCTGGCTATGTTTCTGACATCCTCTTGTACCATGCTCCTCCTTAATCATTCTGAGGTTACATCTTAAGTCCTTTCCCCTTGCCATTCCCACTTCTTGGAATACTTTCCCATCAACTCTTCAAAGAACTGCCTTCTTTAAGTATTTGGTCTCAGTTCCAATGTCACTTCCCTGTAAAAGCTTCCTGGCCATCAAGCCTTCTTTACACACTCTATTTTATTTTTTCATGGTTCCTATAACAACCTAATATATTCTCAATTGATTAACTGTTTTGCTGAATACTGCCTTCCATAAGAATGGAAAGAAAACATGGCCAGGTGCAGTGGCTCACACCTGTAATCCCACCACTTCAGGAGGCTGAGGCAACATGGCAAAACCTTCTCTTCAAAAAATTTTTTAAAAGTTAGCTGGATGTTGTGGAGGCAAGAGGATCACTTGAGGATCACTTGAGTCCATGAGGTCAAGGCTGCAGTGAGTCATGTTTGCACCACTGCACTCTAGCCTAGGTGACAGAGCTAGTCACTATCAAAAAAAAAAAAAAAAGAATGGAGAGAATGCTACATGAGAGAAAGGATCTTATCTATCATGTTCACCTCCCAAGAGGTGAACATATCCCCCAAAGCCTGATAGAGAGAAGATGCTCATTAATATTTAATGCATGACCATGTGCAGACTTGGGAGGAAAAATATGCCTCAGCCTATCAATATTGGATCCTTAATAAACAAGGATGTTTCTGCATCATTTCCCCACAACACCGAACAAGTGTGGCTCACTGTGGATGTTTAAGCAAATGCATTGTTTTTCCAGTTATATATCTGGTAGAGATGAGGCCATTGATAGGAATGGGAAGACGATCTCCTTTTATTTTGATGACCCAGCATGGCTGAACACTCAGTGACTACCACTGCACTTTGTTGTACTTTCAGCATTAGAGATGCCAGCCCTGTAGGATATAAAACAGGAACATCTAGTCCTCAATTATATTCAGAATTACTCAAGTCTTAGAAGCACCACTTGTCTTTTTTCAAGGGAGAGAAATGCTCAAGTGATGGGCTGAAGTGAAGGGAGGGAGTCACTCACTTGAACGGTTCCCTTAGGCTGTGTGGATGCAAACAGCATTAGACAATGACACTGACAGTGGGAAATGCACTGGAGACGATGACTGGCAAAGCCCTCCTTTTCTCCCCATCCACTATAGATACTGACAGCAAAGGGTTTGTCACAATGACAACTATACACTCCCAATATCACAGAAGAAGGAGGAATAAAAGGGTATATTATGAGTGACTGAAGTTTAGAATAAATTAATAAATATTATGTCCCTCATCCATAGAAACCACAAAGGTCTAGTAAGGCTAAGGATATAACAAGAAAATAATATGAATATTTGCTTCCCCTTCCTAGTGTAATAGAGTAAGTTACAAATGGCTTCAGGAAGGGGAGAGAGGAAGAAGAGTGGATGAGATACGTAAGAGTGCTTGAGGGCTAATTTTATGAAAGCTTTGGGAAGTTTTAAGAAAAAGAAAAGCTATTTTTCAAGGTACATGTGTGTATGCGTGTGTGTGTGTGTGTGTGTGTGTGTGTGTGTGTGTGTGAAAGACAGAAGAAAGAGGGAGACCTTAGAAGACTATGAGACACTAAGAGAAAAATTAAGGTAAAAAAGACACACACTTAGAAAAACACACATAGGGAGGAGGGAGGAGGTTAAGACATTTTACTATGTGCTGTGAATGGAAACTACAAACCATTTTTGATATATGCAATATATATACATATATACACACATATACATATGTATTTAAATATTTAAATTACATTTTCTCTTTTTTTAGAGATATGGTTTCACTATGTCACTCTGCCCAGGCTGCAGTACAGTGGTTGTTCACAGTCATGATCATAGCACATTATAGCCTTGAACTCCTGGGCTCAAGCAACCCTCCTGTATTAGTCTCCCCAGTAGTTGGGATTACTAGCATATGCCACCATGTCCACCTTTATGCTTTTTAAAGTGAAAAACCATACTAAGAATGAGGCAGCTCAACTTAATAATAAAAACATTTCAAATGTAAAGAAATTTACAAAAGAAAAACAATCAACCCCATTAAAATTGGGCAAAGGGAATGAACAGACACTTTTCAAAAGAATACATGCATGCAGCCAACAAACATACAAAAAAAAAGTTCAACATCACTGATCATTAGAGAAATGCAAATCAAAACCATAATGAGATACCATCTCACACCAGTCAGAATAGCTATCATTAAAAAGTCAAAAAATAACAGATGCTAGTGAGGCTATGGAGAAAAGGGAATGCTTATACACTGTTGTTGGGTGTGCAAATCAGTTCAATCATTGTGCAAGGAAAGTGATTCCTCAAAGAGCTAAAAGCAGAGCTACCATTCGACCCAGTAATCCCACTACTGGGTATATACCCAGATGAATATAAACCATTCTACCATAAAGACACATGCATACAAATGTTCATTGCAGCACTGTTCACAATAGCAAAAGTATGGGATCAACCTAAATGCCCATCAATGACAGATTGGATAAAGAAAATGTGGTACATATACACCATGGAATACTATGCCGCCATTAAAAAATGATATCATGTCTTTTGCTGGAATATGGATGGACCTTCTATTATCCTTAGCAAACTAATGCAGGAACAGAAAACCAAATACAGCATACTCTCAGTTATAAGTGGGAGCTAAATGATGAGAACTCATGAACACAAAGAATAAAACAGACACTGGGGTCTACTTGAGGGTGGAGGGTGAGAAAAGGAAGAGAAACAGAAAAGATAACTATTGGGTACTAGGTTTAATACCTGGGTGATGAAATGATCTGTACAATAACCCCCTGTGACACCAGTCTACCTATGTAACAAATGCCCCTAAACTTAAAATAAAAGTTAAAAAAAAAAGAAAATTAAAATCTCCTTATCATCTACCTGGTAATATGAAAAACACATATCTTTCATTCATTCCTTTCAACTGATGAGGAAACTGAGGCATTGGGAGTTAGTAAAAGTCCACATTGAGATATGAGACCCACCACTGGCTGGACACAGTGGCTCACACCTGTAATCCCAGCACTTTGGGAGGCCGATGCTGGTGGATCACCTAAGGTCAGGAGTTCGGGACCAGGCTGGCCAACATGGTGAAACCCCCATCTCTACTAAAAATACAAAAATTAGCTGGGTGTGGTGGCAGGCACCTGTAATACCAGCTACTAGGGAGGCTGAGGCAGGAGAATCGCTTGAACCCAGGAGGTGGAGTTTACAGTGAGCCAAAATCATGCCATTGCACTCCAGCCTGGGCAACAAGAGCAAGACTCTGTCGGGGAAAAAAAAAAACAAAAAAAACCACCACCATCATTTTGCAAGTGTTACCACTATTGTGTGTTAATATTGTAGAAGTATTCCTAATTATGATTTCTTTGTATTCCTAATTGTAATAGCTTTGTATTTGAAAAATTATTGATTCATACTCTATGTTATTATTTTGTATGCGATGACAACAGAATATATTATCATGCTCCTTTTGTGAATCTCATTCATAATATAAAGTATAAATTTGTGATTTTGCTTTAATTTGAAATATTAATTTCAAATATGTTATCACAATTTGATACAAACTATTGACAGTAAATCTGTGGATTAAGTAATGTCTTAGTAGGTATTGGGAAAATTTGAAACTAGTAACATGGAGGACTATTGTCATTGTTTATTTCAAAGCCAGTTAAAATTCTGCAAAGCAGTGTACATAAAAATAATTTCAAGAAATTTATAAAATACCGAGATTACGGTGTATAAACAACTTTAGATTCTTTGTTTAAGAAATTCTGCCAGTTTGTAATATATGCTTCATTCAAAGTAGCTAAGGGCTGTACCTGGCTAATAGTAGGCACCTAATATTTGTTGAAAAGGAATACTGAGTAGCTGGGACCTCCTGAGTAGCTGGGACCACACACATTTAACCTGTATTTATAAAATTACTGTTTAGAGAATAACATTTGATGGAATCATGCTTTTACTTTCTGCTTACGACTCAATTGTTTGTACTGACATTAACATCCCAAATCCTTAGCATGGCCTACAAGGCCCTGAGCAATGTGGCACCTGCTGAAGCCTGCTGCCTCATTTAATAACTCTTTGTCTCTTTCCCAGATCCAGCCACTCTAACATTTTTTAGCTCCTGGACCAAGACAAGCTCTTCCCAGAACCTGACCTTTGTACCTGTTCTTTATTCCTGGAGTATTTTTCCCCTGACAAATTACTTATCATCTATCATAATTCAGGTTAAATGGCACTAACTCAGGGAAGGCTTCCCTAACTGCCTCCCTTCTCCAACCAAATTAGGAACAATTATATGGCCACATAGTATCGAATCAAGTTTATAATTTTAAAATAATTGGGAGATTTTGTTGTTTAACACTTGTTTTCACTATAAGACTGTAATTACATGCAAGTAAGAACCATGCCTGTTTGTTCACTCCTGCCACAGTCAGAATAGTGCCTGGAATATGCAGTAAGGGCTGAACAAACACTAAATAAATGAACAAGTGAATAAATGGATATTGTCTCATTTTTAGAACAGAGTACTAAATGGATCATGAACACTATCTGGTATGTCACGTAGGTAATTTACAAGGGCTACAATTTCAGCTCAGATTTACCTTTTCCTGGATACAGGTCTTGATAGGTCTCTTGATGTCATTTCACTTCAGATTCTTCTTTAGAAAACTTGGACAATAGCATTTGCTGTCTTGTCCAAATTGTTACTAAGAATCAAGAGAGATATCTGACATGAAATGACATTGGAAAACATTAAACACGATTGAAATAATGCTAGCCAATATGGTTATTATTAGAAACCAATTACATTTTCAACTTAAAAATAGTAATACTTATTGCAGACTCAAATGTGCTTATTCTAAAACAAGTAAATGTTTGCCTATGGTCTGAGATTCTAATCCACGGAGTTCATTCTAATCCACATTCAACACTATCATGTACCAGTGGGCCTCATAACCCACCTAGCCCTGTGATTTTTCAGGTTCACTTTTCTAAACTTGTGAATTAAATATTTATTTTCTTAGTTCAGAAGAGGAAAAAAACTCTTGTAATTGTTGCCCATTTCAGGAGAAATCTTGCATATGAAAACAAGAGATAAATATACACAACTGAGGGCTGTGGTTTAAACAAAATCTTGAGAATGTTTTTTGACCTTATACATTTGTGCTTTAGTATAACAAAATGATATAGACAAAGGTAACTTTTAATAGAACCAGTCACTACATTAAAAAAATGACAAATTCTTCTGCTTAGCTAAGCAACAGAGAAGGTAAAATACTAATTCAATTCATCAATTTAAGCAATACTCATTAAGAGCCAAGTATGTGCTCACTGAATAAGCTGCTAAGGTTTGGTGGTTACAGAGTGTGCGGTGAAATGATGTCTACATCACAGTCCAACATTCACAGAGTTTAAAAGCCTACCAAGAATCAAGACAGACACAAATACCTAACATAGACGTTTGTATATGATAAGAGAGCCAGAGTACAATTTAGGAGAAGAAATTGTATGGAAGGAAGGTTCATTTCCATTAGACCAGAAAAGACAGCACATTTGAAGGCCTGAATAAGAAATATTCTGGATAAGATATTGTGGCTGCTACCAGAATGGCTCTTGATGATCTCTACCTCTTGGTATTTATACCCTTATATAATCTCTTTCCTATAGTGTAAGCTGGTCCCAGGTACTTGTTTCTATTGAATAGAATAGAACAAAAGAAATGAGATGCCACTTCTGAGATTAGTTTATAAGATACTGTGAATTTCATCTTGTGCCCTCTCCCTCTCTCTCTTTCTCTTGCCCTCTCATTTGAATGAAGCCAACTGGCATGCTGTCAGTGGCACAGTGTAAGTCCTGTTACAAGAAATTGACGATTACCTGTAGCCAACCCTAAGTGAAGAACTGAGGTCCTCAGTCCTACAAATGGAGAGAAACTGAATCTAGCTAAGAACCATGTGAGTGAGCTGGGAAGAAGATCCACCCTCAGTTGAAATTTAAGATGACATATTGAGCAGACATACTGAGACACACTGAAAGTAAGAGAGCAGGAGGAAACAAAACCAGGGTCATACAAAGAACACAACTGATTTTGAGATTCTCACATAAGTATTACACCTTCAGTGAGCACGTGTACTAGAAATTTAAAAAATAAATAAAATAAACCTTCAAAGTGAGCTAGCAAATAAATTTCCCTATGGTCTCAGCTCTGAGTGGAGAGAGAAAATGTTCCCTGTGGAGTTTATAGCCAGAATCCAGCTCTCAAACAGGTTTCAGCCTGAACTCACACAATCTGTGTGGCTTCCAAATTTGCAAGCTGAGAATTTAATTCAAAGTGGTCTCAGGTTGATAGCAGTCCAAAATGCTAGGTAGGAAAAAAAATCCTCTCTGGACAAATAAATCATCAAAGCAAGCTCATAAGAGCAGGTTTCAAAGGTCATGAGCTTCTAACACACACACACAAAAATCACACACACAAAATGGGGGTAGCAGCAACATGGGTAGCGTATTCAAACTTGAAAAGACTTTAAATATTTGTATTATTAGATGTAGATTATGAAACACATATTTTAATGTGGTTAATTTTTTTAAGGAATCACAACTATGAGTAAAGACCAAGAAAATTGTGCTGGATGGCCACTTCCACCATGGCTCCCCTCCTATTTAAGTCTGGGTACTGTGTCACCCGAAGTCTTCAGGCACATTGTTCCAGGTCTGGGTTTGCCTATGAAAGAAACTCATGAGAGCTGGAAATGAGGAGTGAAGAGGAGGTCTTCACATAAAGCAGGCTTAAGGATTAGACATAGCAGGTTTGACAGATGTGATGGCTTGCAGAATCCTTTATGAGCTCCCACTGTCCATCTGGATAAGATTTACAGACCTTTCAGAAATTCCTATAAGCTTGGGTTCTGTGCCCACACTCTAGACTGTCAGGCTAAGATCTCTGATATAAAACAGACCTCTTCTGATTTTGTCTAGCTGCTTTTCTAATATCTATTCACCAAGCTCTTCCAATAATAGCATAAGGCCCTAATTAATATTAAACTTTTATCATTATAATACATAGGATGTCTTCTGTTTTCCTGATCAAATTCTGACTACTATTAAAATATAAAGAATTGTCCAGAAATATATAAAAAAAGAATCACACATTGATCTTCTTTAAATGAAAATATAACAATTGTATGGACTAGGATGATTACAGTTGTTCAGTTCTGACTGTTATTTGAAGAAAAAAGCAATAAGAAGCCTCAGCAACTTAACAGAAGGAGCTGCCATTTACTAGGAGAAAAGATTGTGGATGAGAGTGTAGCAAAGGTCAGAATTCTGTGAAGCTTGAGATGTTTATTATAATGAATTATCTTTTATACTCACTACAATTTCCTAACAATTTTGGGGTTTATATTTTTGAAAGAGATATACCTTTAATTTTCTTTCTTTGTACTATTGTTAGGTAACTTTAATGTGCAGATTATACTACAGTGAAAGTTGCCAATGACAAGGCAAAGTCACTTACATCAGACCCAAAGCAAAGTGGAGCCGGGTCATGAAAAAGGGGATCTTGTGTGTCTGTCCACGATAAGCACTATCACAAGGACTTTCTATAAACTCACAAGAAATTTCTGCCCACCCAGCACACAGTTTGTCCAGCTCATCCTGTAGGTGTCTCTATAATAGGACCTATCATAAAAAATTCCTCAAGACTGCAGCATTTCAGATAAGCCACCCTCACAAGAACACTTGCCTAGCAATGGCTGTTTCTGCCAGTAAGTTAACACCAGCTCCTGCATCAGACCCTGTGACCAATGATGTTTGTTTCAAAACAGCTTGCATGGACTTCTTTTTGTCTTTACATATTTTCCTTACCTCAACCTCTTGGGATGCACCTATGATTGATCATAGCACAAATATCTCAGATTATAATCCTTGTTTATTTCCAAATAAATTTATTTCTTTGGAGATCCACTTTTTCTGTTATTATACATTGACATTGTTATTATGAAATTGGTTGGGTGATGTGTCTTATTTTCTTGTCTCCAGAAGAATTTCTGTAACAGTGCAATTAAACGTTCTTTGCATGTTTGCTAGAACTCACCTGTAAAATTGTCTGAGCAACCAAAGCCTGGTTTTTGTGTTTAGTTTTTCTTTTGTGATTGGGGAGGGGGGTTTATCGTACTGATTCAAGGTGTGAAGGTAACATCATTTTGATTTTATACATCTTCTTCAGTCCATTTAAGCATGTTACATAGCGTTGTTTGTTCTTTTCATGATATTCTTTACAGTAGTCTCCTAAATGTTCCCTCTGATTCTGCCATGAGCCCCTACAATCTATTTCAACTCAGAAGCTATAGAGTTTGTTTAAAACATGTAACATATTATGCCACCTTTCTTACTGTAAAACATCCCATGGTTTCTCATAGTATTTATAGTAAAAGTGAAATTTTTATGATGGCCTGAGAAACTTTTCCCATTAGATGCCCAAGTGCTGGTCTGGTCTGATCTTCTCATCTTCCCTTGGGTGATTCTGTGGCAGTCACACTAGCCTCCTTGCTGCTCCACAAAAACTCCAGCATGATCCTACTTCAGGATATTTGCCATTGTTACTGCATCTGCCTGGAACCTTTTCTCCCATATAAACATAGAGATTGCTCTTGCCTGTCCTTCAAGTCTATTCTTAAATGTCCCATTCTCTGTGAAGCTTTCCTGCCCACCCTATTTAAATTACAGACTTCACTCCCAATTCCCCATCTACTTTAAGAGTCTTCATTTATCATTCCTTGACAAACTGTAAATATACATGTTCACTTTTTTATCGTCTGTCTCCAAATACTGGAATGTTAAGTTCTGTAATGTCAGATATTTCTGTTTGGTTCACTGGTGTATTCTTAAAGCATGTTACATACTAGGTATACTCAATGAATATTTGTTGAATAAATATCACATTGGGCTTATTCCAGAAATTCAAGCTTGTTTCAATAGTTAGAGCAATCTACAAATGTAATTCATTACATTAACTAATTAAAGGAGCTAAATCACATCACCACCACAATAATGCAGAAAACCACATTTGATACAACTCAATATTCATGTCTGCCTAACAAACATCTCATGATACTAGGAAAAGAGGAAGGGATATATTATTTTCATGTATAAAGCACTAACCATTGTAGCATGCCAATATACTCAAAATTCAATGAAATTCCTATCAAAATCTTAGCATTCCTCTTAGTCCTCAACAAAGCATTTCTAAAATGTGTATAGAAGACCAAAGGGCCAAAAGAGTCAACTTCTGAAGAAGCGCAAAAAGAAAGTTGAGGAAATCTTAAAACATGTTATTGAGCTTAAAGTTGCAAAAATAAACTCATGTACCATAATTCATGAGTAGAAAAATAGACTAGTGGAATAACATAAAAATAAAAACAATGCTTACATAAAATGTTGTAACTGATTTGGATGTCATTAGAAATCAGTAAGTAAATAGATGGACAATGTAATGAAAGATGCTAGGCAAATAATGTGGTAGGGAGAATAATGGCCCTCAAAGATGCCCATGCCTAACCCTGGAACCTGTGAATATGTTACACTGAATGCAATAAAGGCTTATCAGATGTGATTAAGGATGCAAACCGAGATGGAGAGATCTTCCTGGGTTACCCAGATGGGCCCAGTCTAATCACATGAGTTCTTAAAAATGGAGAACCTTTCTTAGCTGAGTCCAGAGAGAGATGTGACAATGAAAGAATGGTCAGAGAAATGTGACATTGCCAGCTTTAAAAAGAGAGAGGAGAGGCAATGAGAAAAGGAATGCTGATGTTCTCTAGAAGATAGAAAAGGCCAGGATATGGATTCTACCCTAGCCACCATAAAGAAACATGCCTGTCGACAACTTGATTTTAGTTCACTAAAATTCATGCCTGATTTCTGACTTGTGTACACTGTAAGATGACAAGTTTGTGTTATTTTAGGTCACTTAGTTTGTAGAAATTTGTTACAGCAGTAATAGAACAAGTGGTTATCCATATGAGGCAAATTAGATTGGATACCTATCTCCAATAGAAATCAATTCAAGGTGAATTCCAGGAAAATACTTAAAACATTTAGATTAAAAATAAATGAGAATTTTTGTTACTTTTGGTAGGTCATAGAACCAAGAAAAACAAACATTAAGGAGGAAAAATGAACATATGACTACATCAAAATATAAAGCTTCTCTATTTGGAAGATATCATAAGGTGACAAATCATAAACTGTAATATTTACAACATATATATAAGTGAATAAATATACATTTAGAATATATATGAACTCCCAAAAATCAACAGGAAAAATAAGACATAGAACAAGCAAAATGCATAAACAAAAGAAGGCAAAACAAAAATAATGACTCATAATTATATGAAAAGAAGCTCATCTTCATAGATGAGCAGATAAATGCAAATTAAAACCACCCTGAGATGCTTTTTACATCCATGAGCCTGATAAAAGTTAGAGTCTAAAAGTAATAACAAAGATGGGAAGTAATAGAAAATCTTGTCCATTACTGGTTAAAGTATAAACTGATACAGCTACTTTATAGAATATTACATTATAGAATAAAGTTGTGAGTATGTATATGCAGTGACTCAGCATATTCATTGCTAGTATGTACTCAAGAGAAACTTACAGGAGTGGACTAGGAAGTAAATACAAAATGATTACAACATTGTTTGTTATATCAAAAAATAAAAAAGACACCCAATTTTCCAGCAAAAAAAATAAGTAAAAATAAATCCTGGTGTATTCTAACAATGGAATAATATATAGCCATTAAAATAAATCAACTATTACTGTACATATGAATGTAAATATCAGCAAAACATATTGTTTAGTGAAAAACTAAGAAGCTGAAGAAGAATATATACAATATGGTTACATTTATATGAAGTCCAAAAACTTGCAAAATAAAGAAATGTATTTAGAAATAGATTCACATGTGAGAAAACTAGAAGAAAATTAATGAAAGGATAAGAGGGATAGCAGTAATTCTGAGTAGTTGAGGGAATTTCAATTGGAAAAAAATAATATCATATTCTTTAAGTCAGGTAGTGGGTATTAGCATTTGTTTTACCATCGTTCTTTATTCTTATAGCTACACTATATATTTTCAATGTATTTAATGTATTTTTTGCATAATTAAATATTATGCAATAAAAATGAGAAAACAAAAAAGTAGAAAATGATAAATTACAATAAAGAAATGGAGAAAAAATTATAATCTAGTTGAGTAATGGTATATTACATAGCTATTTTCTTAAGTAGATGTATGTACATGATGTATGCACGATTGTACATACATGTTCTTAATTATATATAAATATATATGTACATATTTTTAATATAAAATACTAAACAAAGTACACCAAAATATTAGCTCCTATGTTAGTGAGATAATGTTTTGTTTTTTTGTATTTTAAGTTTTACATAGTAGGTGTATTTTTCTGTTTTCATACTGCTATAAAGAACTGCCCAAGACTGGGTAATTTATAAAGGAAAGAAGTTTAATTGGCTCACCGTTCAGCACAGCTTGGGAGGCCTCAGGAAATCTACAATCATGGCGGAAGACAAAGAGGAAGCAAGCCAGCTTCTTCGCAAGGCAGCATGAAGAAGTGCCGAGCAAAGGGGAAAGAATCCCTTATAAAACCATCAAATCTCGTGAGAACTCACTATCACAAGAACAGCACAGGGGAAACTGCCCCCATGATTCAATTACCTCCACCTGGTCTCTCCCTTGACCTGTGGGGATTATGGGGACTATGGGGATTACAATTCAAGATGAGATTCAGGTGGGGATACAAAGCCTAACCATATCAGTAGGCATGTATTGAATTTTAAACTCAGAGAAAAATACTAGTGTTTTTATAGGATTCTTACTAAAGAAAAACCAGAAAGTAATAAACCATCTACGCTAAGACATAAAATTCAGTTGTTTAGTTACAAGATAGAATGTGGCCTTGTAAGAAAGCAAATTAACTTCTAACATACAAAGCCTTAGAGAAGATTCAAGTGACTGACGGATCTTAAACAGAGCTATTATTACAACTCGAACTGCAGTAAAATATCCTCAGCAACATAGATGTGTGTGTTTCACTAGTCAGAGCAATACAAATTTAATGAAACTCCACTGGTGGTGTTTTTAATCAGACAATTTCTGAAGATGTCCTGGCTTATTCACAGATGCAAGCCAAATCTCTAGAAGAGTACCATAATAAGAAAAAAAAGAATACAGGCAATTGAGAGCTGTTCCAAAGTTTAGGGAGTTTTTGTAAGGAATTAATAAATAAAAATGTTCTTGAAAGACAGAAATTAATATGCAGTTCATACTGTCAGAATTGCAGGCAATTTATCAAAGTCCCCTAATCCTCCAAAATCGCTATTTTTTTTTTGACACACACTTTACAGTACAGAAGAAAATGTCTCCGGCAATAAATCACAAAGTTAAAATTACCTAGTCTACAATTAACTACACAGTGATGGTAAATCATTTTCTACCAAAAGAAAGAAATGTCTTGTCTATTCAGGTTCTGCTCTACTTAAAAGTTTTCCTTGTTGGCGAGCAAGTGGTTAGAAAATTATATTTTATACGTACATTCAGCTTAACTATCATTCAGCTCAGGAAGATGACTCAGGGCCTTATCCATACCTTCAAGTTTGCTCTTAGCAAGTAATTGTTTCAGTATCTATATCAAAAATGGCTTAAGCCTGCAACATGTTTCTGAATGATTAACAAGGTGATAGTCAGTTCTTCATTGAATCCTGGATGCTTTATTTTTCTTAATAAGAGGAATTCATATGGATCAGCTAGAAAAAAATTAAGAGGAAAATCACATGGAAAGTTATATATTATATATCTATTATATATAATATATATCTATTACATATTATATATTGTATATCTATTACATATATATTATATATGTATTATATATATTATATATTATATATGTATTATATATATTATATATTATATATCTATTATATATATAATATTATATATTATATATCATTTCCAAATTCCCCAGCGTTCATATTTGTCAGTGCAAGTAAAGAGCCTTACTGCTGATGAGGTTTGAGGTATGACCATTTGGCCAGAATTTATGAACTCTACATGTCGCTTGATGTGTGCCTCAGGGTATACTTTTTTTTTTTTTTTGAGACGGAGTCTTGCTCTGTCGCCCAGGCTGGAGTGCAGCGGTGCGATCTCAGCTCACCGCAAGCTCCGTCTCCCGGGTTCACGCCATTCTCCTGCCTGAGCCTCCTGAGTAGCTGGGACTACAGGCGCCCGCCACTATGCCCTGCTAATTTTTTGTATTTTTAGTACAGACGGGGTTTCACCGTGTTAGCCAGGATGGTCTCGATCTCCTGACCTCGTGATCCACCCGCCTCGGCCTCCCAAAGTGCTGGAATTACAGGTGTGAGCCACCACGCCCGGCCAGGGTACACTTTTAAGCAGAGACACTACTTTGAAGGTCATAAAAAATATAATAAGAGATAAGGCTAATTTCCTTTAATAATAATAAAATCCTTTAATAAAAATATAAAGGAATAATATAATAATTTTCTTTAATAAAATATAATAAGAGATAAGGCTAATTTCCTTTAATAAAATATAGTAACTACATACCAACAGAATTCCAAAAAAAGAAATGGAGAGGAAGGGAGCATGGGTCATTAATCTTGTCAAAAATATAAAATTATATACGAGGAATTCCTAGAAACTGTTTTCCTTGTCTGCGGCCATTGTGCTGCTGCTACACAACTACCGCAAGCAGCCCTTCACGCCCTCCTCCCAGTACAAAGCTAATTGACTTGTGAGAAATGTTAAGCTTGGAAGAGTCAGCATCACTGCACTTATTTTTTATTCTACTCTGACATTAGAATAATCCTTGAGTGGGGGAAAGGTTAAAAACCCCCCTGGATAAGTGTTACTAATTAATGATGATTGTTTTAAACAATGTTTGGATAATTTTTCCTTGTCCCTTGACATAAACTTGATAAATAACTGAGAAGTGAGAAGGAGATTAGTGGGTTGATTAAATTCCATTCAGGTACTTAAAGTTAGCTCCAAAAATTTAGCTATTTGTAAATTGTCATGCATTGTTAATGTATAAGAGATGTAGATTTCATTTATCTTTGGTGGAGCGAGATGAAGCAGTGAATCATTGAAGACTGAAAGAAAGAAAAAGGTCTTTTCCCTTTTCTTTAAGAAGCATCATTAGTTAAAAACATGTTAGTTGATACCAGAGAACTATATTTAAAGGGACAGCAATAAGCAAATTGATTACTCTGGTGATTATTGGAGTGACATTGCCTTTTAGTTGTACTTTCACAAAAATTCACAATATTTGCCAAAGTCAAGTTATCCATTACACTATTAATTTGTCATTCTTTTGTTTATATAGTCAATATCTCTATCTCAATTGGATCTATCTCAACTGCTTCTAAACAAGCCACCATAGTCTCTCCCATTTCAACAATCTCTTCCAAGTACCACTTCATTTCTTCTTTTCATATTTTTGAAAACTTTTGAAAAACTACCTATTTTCCTCCTCCATTTCTTGTTCATTCCATTCTAGTGGACATGGAATCTGTTCCTCCTCCAAAACGGAATTTGGTAACCCTTAAATTACTAAACCCAAAACAATATGTTGTCTTTATCTTTACCTCTCTGTGGCATTTAATGATAAGACCACTACTTTCTTCTCTTTTACCCTTCTTTCTTGAATTCAGTCAGACAACGTACTTACATTTTTCGTCTTATTCTCCATCTTAGAAACCACCTCAGCTTTCTCCATTCAGCTATAAAATTGTGCTTTTCCTCAAAGATTAATCTGCCTCTCCTCTCACTCTATACTATCTCTGTTAGCTAATTTTATTTGTGCACATTGCTTATACTGGGCATTATATACACATATGCATGTGTGTACATGTGCACACACACACTGTATGTGGACATGTATATATATATATGTGTGTGTGTATATATATAGTATATATATAAATTACAATAACATAAAGGTGGCATTTTAAATTAGTGGAAATTACCCTGATTTGATCACTACACATTCTATACATGTAAAGAAAATATCACTCTGTATCCCAAGAATATGTACAATTATGGTTTGTCAAATGAAAAAGTTCATACATTGAAAAATTTTAGATAAATATCAAACTTTCTCTGAAACTGTAACTGTAAAATGTAAAAAACAGTAATTGCTATATTGCTTATTTCTGAGTAGAAGAATATGAGACATTTCCCTAATCATTATGTGTAATTACAATTACATATATATATGTAATTGTAATTACACATAATGATTAGGGAAATGTCTCATATTCTATATATATAGACAGAAAGAGAGAAAATATATGAGGGAGAGAAGGAATCTTTCCATCTCCTTTGAGTTCCACGGTGTTGAGAGTCAGGACAACTGCAATTGCTTCATCATGCCTGCTTGCAATTATAGGGCTTTTGAACCATTTGTTCCCTCCTTAGATATCCTCATTTTTTTCAGATTCTTGCTTAGAAGTCACTCCTCCGTGGACCTCCTCTGACATATTAAACATTGCAGTCCATTATAAGCTGCAAGAGGACAGGGATTTTTGCCTGTTTTATTCCCTACTGTATCACCAGGGGCTAGAGCAATATCTGACAAACAGTGGGCATGTAATGAATATTTGTTAAGTGAAGTAATAAATTCAATCAAATCACATCACCTGTTTAAAGCACTTCATTGGCTTCACATTGCACTTAGAATAAAGAGAAATTCTTTTTATACAATATACAATATATTTTATACAATATAAGTTCCTGCAGAATGCAGACACTTTCTACTTCTCCAGCCTCTTTTCGACTCCTCTCCTACTAGCTTCTGTATTTAAGCCATATTAGACCTTTCTTCAGTTTTTTATATAGACTTTGTCGCATCACACCTCAGAGATTCTGTACATGTTCTTCCTCCTGCCTAGAAAGGATCGTCCCTCCACTTTTGCCAACTAATCCCTGCTCAACTTTTCATCTCAGCAGGAGGCCCATTCTCTTTGGCAATCCTCTGGCCTCCAGCCCATTTATTATATGCTCACATGTCAACATGTACTTCGTACAGCATGTAACACAATTGCACTTTTATATTTTAACAAATTATATTTCCCATATTGAACTGTAAGTCTCCTGAAAGCAGGAATTTTGTTCTTGCTCATCATCAACTTTTTCAACATCCAGTGCACCATTTAGAACTTAGATGTAGTCAATACAGGTTTGTGGAATGAAAGAGGAAAAGAAAGAATTAATATTCCTTTAAATTAGGATGGCAAAGATCGTATATAGAAAATTGGCTAAGTTGTGGTCCATTCATGTTTGCTCCCAATTAAGGAGCACAGCTATGAAAAGGAAGGCTTCAAATTAATAACCAATAGATTTTTTTAAAAAGAAAACTGGCCAGGTACTGTGGCTTATGTCTGTAATATCAGCATGTTGGGAGGCCAAGGCAGGATTACTTGAGCCCAGAAATTCCAGACCAGCCTGAGAATTTGGCAAAACTCTGTCTCTACAAAAAATACAAAAATTAGCCAAGTTTGGTGGCATGTGCCTGTAGTACCAGCTACTTGGGAGGCTGAGGTGGAAGAATAGCTTGAGTCTGGGAGGTCAAGGCTGCAATGAGCTGTGATTGCACCACTGCACTCAAGCCTGGGTGGTAGAGTAAGACCCTGTCTCAAAAAAAAAAAAAAAAAAAGAAAAATCACTAAGCAAAATAAGACATGTGAAGGATCATGTCAAAGGAAAGAAAAATTAGGGGAACATTAAAAGCTTTCTTCCCAAGCCACTAAATCAACTTGACTAACAAAATTACCACTTGATTTAGTATTAGAAAATTACATTACATATCAAACATAAACCCATTAATCAAATACTAAAGAAATTTCTGAGTTAAATGGTATAATGTTAGCTTATGCCAGAGCTGACCTTGAAAGATTGTTCAAATATGGCTCAGTGTGATTGAAAGTTCTGTGTGAATATGTTTTTGGAAAGATCCAACAGCAACACCTTAGTGTATGTTTTTGAAATAAAATATATCTGAGTAGCAGCAAAGTTATTCTCAAATTTCCATTTTATAGCTGGAGATGTTATACCGTGACGTACATGATAGGACCCAATATGGATCAATCCCTTTTAGAAGTCAATCAGGAAGAGGGGAGCAGTTAAAACAGTTGCTTGGTTTACAAACATTAGAACAATTTTCTTATTCACACCATCTGATTATTGTATGTTATTTTTTCCCCAACGTTTAGACTACACAATGAGTTAAGAATGATAAAAATAAGCTCACCAATATACTATGTACATATTTACCAAAATCTGTGCATGCTTATACATATAAACACAGCTGATAATTTATTAGTTAGGCTCATTTGTAATTTTTGTCACTATAGACCAGTTTTTTATTTAAATTGAAGATTAGTATACATTTTAAATGATTAGTCAAAATAAAAAATCTAAAATGTGCTCTAAATACCTCTTAGGTCAGAAAAAAAAAGTCAAAAGCTAGAGTATAGAGAAATTAAGAAACGCCCTAAATTTCTAATCTGACAAAAATTCATACAAGATTTAAATATTTTAATGGAAAATAGAACAGAACTAATTATTGAAGAAATTATAGAAAGGAAACAAAATAAACAGATTATATGGAGGATTTTTAGAAGATAAGTAAATAAATTAATATACTAGGAAAAAACAAGGGAAATATACTTGATAAATAAATACAGGTAAGAGTTCTTTTGAAATAATGATAAAATAGAAAATCTCTGTCAAAACTAAAAGGAAAGATGCATAAATATATAAATAAACGATAAAAAATGTTGCATACATATATGACTTTTTCAGAATCAAAAAATTTAAATTTCTGTAATAAAATTTAAATGTTTATAAATTTAAAAAACTAGAAGAAAGAATGTTGACTGTTCACAATACAAATAAATGACAACTATTTGAGGTGATGGATACGCTAATTATCCTTATTTGATCACTGGGCATTGTATACATGTATCAAAATATCACTCTGTATCCCATGAATATGTACAATTATTTGTCTCAAAAACAAACAAAAAAAAGATAATGGGAGAATGTTGAAAACTCAGAGAGAAGAGCAACTCTCACAGATAGGGATCCAGATAACATTAGCAGCTGATTTCTCAGCAGAAACCTTGAAGGCCAGTAGGCAGTGGATTATATATTTAAAATAATGAAGAAACCTGTCAATTGAGAAATATATAGCTGGAAAACTTATCCTTCAAAAATGAAGGAGAAATTAAGACATTTCCGGATTTTTTTTTAAAACTGAAAAAAATCCATTTATCCCTGAATTTGACATTCAGGAAGTGTTAAGTCCTTCAGGTTGAAATAAATGAACTCTAGGCAATAACTATATAAGTAAATAAGCAAGCTGTATGAATATACAAAGCTCTCTGGTAAAGGTAAATACATAAACAAACATAAAAACAGTCCTATTGTAATTTTGGTTTGTAACTCTGCTTTTTATTTTCTACATAATTTAAAAGGCAAATGCATAAAATGTAATTGTAAATCTGTTAGCTGGTATACAATGAATAAAGATATAATTTGTCACATCAATAACATAAAAAGAGTAGAGCTATATATATAGCAGTAGAATTTTGGTATGTGATTGAACTTAAGTTGAAATAAATTCAAATTAAAATGTTATAACTCTAGGATGTTATATGTAATTCTCATAGTAACCAAAAATGAAATATACATAGAATATAAACAAAAGGAAATGAGACTAGAAACAAAATGTGTCACTACAAAAAAATCAACTAAAGATAAAAAAGAAATAATTGAGAAAATGATTGGCAAAAATCAGTAACTCTGACGTATTAAAACTTTCCATGCTACATAAATCTGAAAACTCTATTTCACATAAAACTGGAGCTGAAAGAAACAAATATTTACCTATAAAGTTAAAAGTTATATAGGGAACAAACACTAATTTTTTTTAGAAAAAATTATAAAAAGAGTAAAAATATGCCTTATACTACCGTAATTTCATGTTTTACAGCTCTGGGAAAATAGAAAATAAAATGTTCTGTTAGCATGAATCCCTCTGTGCCCCCAAAAAACCCTATGGATTGCATCATTATTACCTAAAAAGTCTATTCTCAAATGCAGCAGAGTGATATTTTTTACAAGGTAGATATTAATTTTAGATATGGAATAATATTGGTGATTTCAATTTTATAACACTGGGTTAAGATGAAAGAATGAGAAGATAAAGGTCCCTCAGCAATATAACTCACAAACATGTTCAGAAGCAGTAAGAAGTTACATTAATTATCTTTTGAAAGTCGATAATCTACATCTTTAATGTATGCATATAGCATAGCTAATGTACTATCCCTGGGTCCATTTATTCAATGAATAATTGCCGCTATGTGTCAGACATTTTTCTAGGCCTAGGAATGGATACATAAGTGAACAAAGCAAAGATTCTGGTTCTTGTAGAGTTTCCATTAAAAGACAATTTAGTAAAACTTTTCTTCCCCCAAATTATAAAATCTGTAAGATGATTTAACAACATGTGTAAAAGTCATTGTGGGCCAGGCACGGTGGCTCATACCAGGTGTGGTGACTCATAGCACTCTGTCACCCAGGATGGAGTGCAGTGGCACAATCTCTGCTCACTGCAACCTCTGCCTCCTGGGTACAAGCGATTCTCCTGCCTCAGCTTTCTGAGTAGCAAGGACTACAGGTGCACACCATCACGCCTGGCTAATTTTTGTACTATTAGTACAGACGGAGTTTCACCATGTTGGCCAGGCTGGTCTCGAACTCCTGACCTCAAATGATCCATCTACCTCGGCCTCCCAAAGTGCTGGAATTACAGATGTGAGCCACAATGCCCGGCCTTATTTTCTACAACTTTGGTAACTTTAGCATATACCCCAAATCTGTAAGACATAATATTATAATTCAAATGCAACTCATGGCTTCTCTTTGTACTCTTTCTCTAGCTTTTGAATTATTTATTCTAATACCAGTTTTAATTCTGACACAAAATCATGGGAGTTCTAATCAAAATCCAACCTTTTATCATAAAAACTATGAAGAAATTATGAGTAGAATTTAAAAAGGAAAATAGGCCTATTAATTAGATTTGTCTTTGTAGCATTTAACTCTATAATAAATAATATTTTATGCCTATGAGTCCCCAACAAAGCCTCCAGCTTCTATTTAGATATAAACTGTAAAAGTCACTACTGGATCCACAAGCAAGACTATGGTAAATAAATTTCTCCACCTAACCAGCTTCTTTTACATGATGTTACATGTTTCTTTTGTTTTTTCATTTTGGCAAATATTGATTGTCATCTTCGTGTTTGTCTATGTCCTAAGTGCTGGGATACAGAATCTGAAAAGATGGACACAGGACCTGCCTTCAAGTTCACCCCCTTTTTTTTTTTTTTTTGAGATGCAGTTTTGCTCTTGTCACCCAGGCTGGAGTGTACTGGTGAGATCTCTGCTCACTGCAACCTCCACCTTCAGGGTTCAAGTGATTCTCCTGCCTCAGCCTCCCAAGTAGCTGTGATTACAGGTCCCAGCCACCACGCCTAGCTAATTTTTGTATTTTTAGTAGAGACAGCGTTTCATCATGCTGGTCAGGCTGGTCTCGAACTCCTAACCTCAGGTAGTCGACCCACCTCGGCCTCCCACAGTGCTGAGATTACAGGCATGAGCCACCACGCCCTGCTAGGAGTTCACGCTTTAGTTGGGGAAAATATACAATAAGCAAGCCAGTTTTTAAAATGAGAACTGCAATTAGAGTTAAATGCTACAAAGACAAACTCACAGGAAGATGGGATGTAGAATGATAAGGCTCTCAGAATAGTAAGAGAAACTATTGCTTCTTACGATGTTTGTCTTTCTTTGTATCGGTGCTCAGCTGAGTCTGCAGTGCTTCAGAGGCAGCTTTCATTTTATAAAAATCTATGATTTCTCCTTCCAGTTTTTTTTTCTCTTCCTCGAGCTTCCTTATCTCCTCCTGTTGAATCATTTTAAGATGCTCGAACTTGTCCTGCAGCTGTGAAACCAATGTGCAGTTGTGACACCAAAGCAGTGTGGCTGAACACCTAAAAGAATACGCTTTTTTTCTGATTATCAAACAAACCCAAATCATCACAGTAGACCACGATCTTAATAACAATCTCAAAAACTCAGGAGTAAACACTCAGATATGGAATTTTTCTTTTCTTTCTTTTTTCCTTTTATAAGATGGAGTCTCACTCTGTTGCCCAGGCTGGAGTGCACTGGTGCGATCTCAGCTCACTGCAACCTCCATCTCCCAGTTCAAGTGATTCTCCTGCCTCAGCCTCTTGAGTAGCTGGGACTATAGGCATGCACCACCACTACAGGCGTGTGCCACCACACCTGGCTAATTTTTGTATTTTTAGTAGAGATGGGGTTTTGCCATGATGGCCAGGCTGGTCTCGAACTCCTGACCTCAGGTGATCCTCCCGCTTTGGCCTCCCAAAGACTTTTTTTTTTTTTTTAATATAGAGACAAGTTCTCAGTACGTTGCCCAGGCTGGTCTCAAACTCCTGAGCTCAAGTGATCCTCCCACCTCAGCTTCCCAAAGTGCTGGGACTGACTGGATGCAGTGGCTCATGCTTGTAAACTCAGCACTTTGGGAGGCCAAGGTGGGAGGATCGCTTGAGCCCAGGAGTTCAAGACCAGACTGGGTGATATAACACAATAGTCAACTTCAACAGGAGAGAGAATCTGTAAACTTGAATATAGATCTTCCGAAATTATCCAGTCAGTGGACAGAGAAAAAAAGAATAAAAGAGAGAAAAGAAGGCTGGGTGTGGTGGCTCAAGCCTGTAATCCCAACACTTTGGGAGGCCGAGGCAGGCAGATTAAGAGGTCAGGAGTTCAAGACCAGCCTGTCCAACATGACAAAGCCCCATCTCTACTAAAAATACAAAAATTAGCCGGGTGTGGTGGCACACACCTGTAGTCCCAGCTACTTGGGAGGCTGAGGCAGGAGAATCGCTTGAACCCAGGAAGCGGAGGTTGGAGTGCAATGTGAGCCGAGACCACACATTACACTCCAGCCTGGGTGACAGAGCATGACTCTGTCTCAAAAAGAAAAAAAAAAGAGACAGAGAAAAGAAAGCCAACAAGACACCATTAAGCAAACCATTGTCAGGTTATGGGAGTTTGAGAAGGAAAGTAGAGAAAGGAGAATAAAGCTTATTTAAAGAATGGCTGACAACTGCCTAAATCATGGGAAAGATTTAGACATCTAAATCCATGAAGCTTAAAGATTCCTAAAGAGGTTCAAACCAAATAGATACTCACCAAGTCACAATATAATCAAATAGTCAAAAGTTAAAGAAACTTTGCAGGTCAGGACAGAATCGAATAATACATTCAAAGTGCTGAAAGAAAAAAACTGCCAGCAACTAATACTATGTCTGACAAAGCTGTCCTTCAGAAAGGAAAAAGAAATAATGTGTTTCCTCGACAAACAAAGCTGAGGGCATTCAGGACCACTAGGTCTACCTTAAAAAAATGCTTAACGGAGTTTTTCAAGTAAAAATGAATGAAGTTGGGAGCGGTGGCTCATGCCTGTAATCCCATTTTGGGAGGCTGAGGTGGGTGGATCACCTGAGGTCGGGAGGTCAAGACCAGCCTGGCCAACATGGCAAAACCCCACCTCCAGTAAAAATACAAAAAATTAGCCAGGTATGAAGGCCACTGAGATCGTGCCACTGCACTCCAGCCTGGGTGACAAGAGTCAAACTACATTTCAAAAACAAAAAACAAAACAAACAAAAAAAACAAAACTTGAGGCCTGGCCTTCTGCTCCTCTCCAACCTCCCCTTCTCTGGGCCCAAGCCACCTTGGCTGAGGAGGGGGCGAGGAGGTGTGAGCCCCTGCCAGGAACCCCCTGCCCGGACCAAGTGCTCGGCCCCCAGGCCTGCGTTCAGTGAGGCCTCCCGTGGCGTCAGCATGTTCGTGTGGAGGAATGTGGAAGGTCACTCTGCGGCCGTGTTCTCCTGGTACTCCATCCCCTTCCTGACCCCTCCCTGCAGCCACACGAGGCCCAGCAACCTGCCAGTCACTCAGTGGCCTCCAACCAGAGAAAACAACCTGCCAAGTTGGCAGCTGTTGCTCATGAGCGTCCACCAGGTGGGACAGGGAGTGTTGACCCTGGGCGGCCCCCTGGAGCCACCTGCCCTGAAAGCCCAGGGCCCGCAACCCCACACACTTTGGGGTTGGTGGAACCTGGTAAAAGCTCACCTCCCACCATGGAGGAGGAGCCCTGGGCCCCTCAGGGGAGTCCCTGCTGGACAGTGAGACAGAGAATGACCATGATGATGCTTTCCTCTCCATCATGTCTCCTGACACCCAGTTGCCTCTACCACTCAGATGATGTCAGGCCCAGTCCCTCAGTGCCCTGCGCAAGGAACAGGACTCATCTTCTGAGAAGGATGGACGCAGCCCCAACAAATCAGACAAGGACCACATCCGGTGGCCCATGAGTGGCGCTCATGATCTTCAGCAGGCGGCACCAGGCCCTGGCGGGGCGCACCAGGGTCACCCCAACCAGGATAACCGGACCGTCAGCCAGATGCTGAGCGAGCGGTGGTACACCCTGGGGCCCAATGAGATGCAGAAATACAACCTGGCCTTCCAGGTGAAGGTGGCCCACTTGCAACAAGGACCGAAAGAAGTCCAGCTCAGAGGCCAAGCCCACAAGCCAGGGGCTAGCAGGAGTGTAACAAGGGCTCGTGGGAGCGGAGCATATCAGAGACGGGCACTGCCACTGCCCCTGGGGTGTCCTCTGAACTCCTGTCAGTTGCAGCCCAAACACTCCAGAGCTCGGATACCAAGGAGCAGCTTCTGTGGGGCAGAACGGCTGCACACAGTCAGGGAACCTGGCTCAGCCTGGCCCAAGCCTTCTCCCACAGCGGGGTACACAGCCTGGACGGCAGGGAAATAGACCGTCAGGCACTACGGGAACTGACACAGGTGGTGTCTGGCACTGCATCATACTCTGGCCCAAAGCCTTCTACTCAGCATGGAGCTCCAGGCCACTTTGCAGCCCCTGGTGAGGGAGGTGACCCGTGGGCAGCCCTGCTGCCGCCCACGTGAGCTGCTCATTCCCAGCACATGGCCAGCGAGGTCATAGCGAGTGACGAAGAGCACACGGTCATCCATGAGGAGGAGGGGGTGATGATGTCATTGCTGATGATGGCTTTAGCACCACCGACACCGATCTCAAGTTCAAGGAGTGGGTGACCGACTGAGAGTGGGGACAACTCTGGGGAGGAGCCAGAGGGCAACAAGGGCTTTGGTGGGAAGGTATTTGCACCTGTCATTCCTTCCTCCTTTACTCCTGCCGCCCCTTGCTGGATCCTGAGCCCCCAGGGTCCCCCGATCCACCTGCAGCTTTTGGCAGTCTATGGTCACACCCTGTCCTCCTCCTACACATACTCGGATGCTTCCTCCTCAACCTTGGCACCCACCTCCTTCTTACTGGGCCCAGGAGCCTTCAAAGCCCAGGAGTCTGGTCAACGCAGCAGAGCGGGCCCCCTACGGCCCCAACCCCTGGGGATGGGGGCCCAGGGACGCCTTCCAAGGTGGCCTGTTTCCTCCCAATGGATCCTGCCACCTTCTGGTGCAAGAGACCTGAAAGTGTGGGCGACCTGGAGCTACCAGGCTCCTCAGTCATCAGGGTCCCTCCCAACACTAAGGCTTTCCTAGGCAGGAGCTGGGCTGAGCCACCCGGGGGGCAGAGCCTGAAGAGAAACTGACTGGGCTTTCGGGGTCGGGGCAGAGGGAACCCCACGGACATGGACCCCACACTGGAGGACCCCACCGCGCCCAAATGCAAGATGAGAAGATGCTCCAGCTGCAGTCCAAAGCCCAACACCCCCAAGTGTGCCATGTGTGATGGGGACAGCTTCCCCTTTGCCTGTACAGGTGGAGAAGCCGAGGACAGGCTCAGGGAACCGGAGACCAAGAAGGCGCTGTCCTCTTCACTGCATGTACCCTGGACCAGTGCCGGCCCTGATCATGCAGCTCTTCCAGGCCCACTGCTTCTTCCTGTCCACTAGGCCACAGCCGCCCTCCAGGCCCACTATGCACACATCTTCCCCTCCAAGGTTTGTTCTGCCCCTGCCCTGACTCCCAGCCCTGTGGGGGTCCTGACCGCACCTCACCTGGCTCAGACTCTTGACGCTGCCCTGGCTGCCCCACCAGTGCTTCTGCCCGAGAGTCACGTGAGGCTGAGAGTAGGGGCAGGGGCAGCAGTGGTGCCAGTTGGGGGGCGGTCCAGTGGGAGGAGCCTCAGCCTCGCAGGCTGCTCCGTGGGACTGATGACTGCATGATCTTCTGGGCACCTCACGGATCTTCAACTGCAGGTGAAACGGATGCTGGTGGTGGGTGCAGGGCCGCTGGGAGCTGCTGCATGGTTCCCAGAGGCTGGACTGAGGCAGGTGCCAACTGAAGCTGCTGGGGCAGCATGGGCAGGATGTTCTGCACACAAACCTTGGAGAAGAAGATGTGTGCATAGCAGGTCCACTGCTGCTGCCCCTGCCCTGACTCCCAGCCCTGCCTGACCCCACCTCAACCTGCTCAGGCTCTGGCACAACCCTGGCTGCCCTGCCACTGCCTCTGCCCCAGAGTTGGTGCCTTGACAGCCTGGTTGGAAGGGGACACCCCAGCCCTGCCTCAACACCTGGGGGTCTCCATAACTAGCACAGGCAGGTGGGCAACCCCAAAGATCCCAGGACTCACAGTACCCCCTGAGAACATGGACAGTATGTGGGGGTAGCAATGGAGGGCAGGATGGTTATCTTCTCCCAGGTGAAGCCATTTAATCCTTTCAGTTTGGGACGGAGTAAGGCCTTCCTTTTTTTTTTTTTTTTTTTTTTTTTTTTTGAGACCGAGTCTTGCTCTGTCGCCCAGGCTGGAGTGCAGTGGTGCGATCTTGGCTCACTGCAACCTCTTCCCGCTGGGTTCACGCCATTCTCCTGCCTCAGCCTTCCGGGTAGCTAGGATTACAGGTGGACGCTACCACGTCCGGCTAATTTTTGTATTTTTAGTACAGACGGGGCTTCATCATCTTGGCCAGGCTGATTTCGATCTCCTGACATCGTGATCTGCCTGCCTCCCCCTCCCAAAGTGCTGGGATTACAGGCGTGAGCCACCACGCCTGGCCAAGGCCTGCTCCTCTTATCTATACCCCCTACCCCTGCAGCTGTGCCGGGGGAAAGCTGGGCAGTTTCCCTCCTCCGAGCCCCTGTACATACCATGAATTGTGGGACCTTCAGAGCTTTTCACTTTTCGGAAAATAGCTCCTGCTGGGGCTACAAGATGGAGTGTGAAGAGGGCCTTGGGCCACAGGGAGGCGCCTGTGGACTAGGGGGAGTTCATGCACCCCTTCTTTCCCCAGAGGGGCTGGACTCAGGTGAGTATGGGGGTGGGGGCTCCTGCACTTCGACACAGGCAGCAGGAGGGTTTTCTCCCCATTCCCTCTGCACTCCCAACTTGAGCTATACTTTTTAAGAAAGTGATTCACCCTGCCTTTGCCCCCTTCCCCAGAACAGAACACGTTGATCGTGGGCGATATTTTTCATTGTGCCAAAAAGTTGCCATGACCGTCATTAAACCTGTTTAACACCAAATAATAAGGAAAATAAAATAAAAAATTCGGGCTTGGCGCAGAAACTCACTCCAAATAAATTACCTACCAAAACATTTACATAATGGTGGAAATATTCCAAAATTCAATATTTTGGGATTTATACACAAAAGATAAACAAATTAGAGGCCAAGAGGCTGCCGGAAGGGAAAAACAGGGCCTGGAATGGCCGACGTGAGGAATGAGCTGGGCCTAAAGAGGCCACTGGCAGGCAGGAGCTGGACCTGCCGAAGTGGCCGAAAGGCAGGAGCTTTGGACTGGGGAGGCCGCAGTGAGGCGAGAGCTAGCTGGGCGTGGAGAGTCCGCTGTGAGGCCGAGGCCGAGGCTGGGCCCGTGCAGGCCTTCGAGACGCAGGAGGCCGGGCCTGCAAAGGCCGACTGGAGATCAAGTTCTGCGCCTGAAGAGGCTGCCAAAAGTCAAAAGCGGGGCCTGGGAAGGCCGCCGAGAGCCATGAGCTGGGCTGGGCCGAAAGAGGCCACTGGGAGGCAGGAGGAGCTGGGCCTGGAGAGGCTGACTCGAGGAAGTTTTGCACCTGGAGAGGCCGTCGAGAGGACGGAGCTGGGCCCAGGGAGGCCGACTTGCTGCTCTTCCAGGCCCACTTCCAGGCCGACTTGAGGACGACTTGGGCCTGCAGAGGCCGCCGGGAGGCTGGAGCTAAGCCTGGAGAGACTGACTTCGGGACGATTTGGGCCTGCGGAGGCCGCCGGGAGGCCCAAGCTGGGCCTAGAGGAGCCCACCGACCGGAGGCCATTTGGGGCCTGCAGATGTCATCGGAGGGCCAGGAGCTGAGCCTGGAGAGGCCACCGCGAGGCCTGAGCTGGGCCTGGGGAGCTTGGCTTAGGGAAGTTGTGGGCCTACCAGGGCCGCTGGGAGCTGGGCAGGAGCTGAGTCCAAAGACGTTGTTGGGACCTGGAGTCGGGCCAGAGTCCGGCCTGGAGATGCAGCCGGGAGGAAGAGCTGGGCCCGGAGGGGGCGCCGGGAGGCTGCAAGTGGGTCTGAGAGGCCAACTTGAGGAGGCCTGGCCTCTGCCTCCCGCATTGCCCAGCTGTTCCTCCTGGCTGCATCTCCCACCTCCCAGCAAACAAGCTCTTTTGGCTCAGCTCCCGCCTGCGTTTGTAGACCCCAAAGTTTCTGCAACCAAGCTCTTCAGACCCACATCCCTTCTCCCAGTGACTGAACAGTCCCAGCTCCGGCTGGAGAAGGGTGTCTGCAGACCCCGCTGTTGCCTCCCAGGGGAGTCTCCAGGCCCAGCTCTCGCCCCACCGCGACCTCCCAGGCCCAAGTCCCTGCCTACCTCCCAGCAGCCCGAGTGCGATCCTGTTCCTCCCTCACGGTGGCCTGTTGAGGCAGGGGGTCACGCTGACCTCTGTCCGCGTGGGAGGGGCCGGTGTGAGGCAAGGGCTCACACTGACCTCTCTCAGCGTGGGAGGGGCCGGTGTGAGGCAAGGGGCTCACGCTGACCTCTGTCCGCGTGGGAGGGGCCGGTGTGAGGCAAGGGCTCACACTGACCTCTCTCAGCGTGGGAGGGGCCGGTGTGAGGCAAGGGGCTCACGCTGACCTCTGTCCGCGTGGGAGGGGCTGGTGTGAGGCAAGGGCTCAGGCTGACCTCTCTCAGCGTGGGAGGGGCCGGTGTGAGGCAAGGGGCTCACGCTGACCTCTGTCCGCGTGGGAGGGGCCGGTGTGAGACAAGGGGCTCACACTGACCTCTCTCAGCGTGGGAGGGGCCGGTGTGAGGCAAGGGGCTCAGGCTGACCTCTGTCCGCGTGGGAGGGGCCGGTGTGAGGCAAGGGGCTCAGGCTGACCTCTGTCCGCGTGGGAGGGGCCGGTGTGAGGCAAGGGGCTCAGGCTGACCTCTGTCCGCGTGGGAGGGGCCGGGGTGAGGCAAGGGCTCACACTGACCTCTCTCAGCGTGGGAGGGGCCGGTGTGAGGCAAGGGGCTCGGGCTGACCTCTCTCAGCGTGGGAGGGGCCGGTGTGAGGCAAGGGGCTCGGGCTGACCTCTCTCAGCGTGGGAGGGGCCGGTGTGAGGCAAGGGGCTCGGGCTGACCTCTGTCCGCGTGGGAGGGGCCGGTGTGAGGCAAGGGGCTCGGGCTGACCTCTCTCAGCGTGGGAGGGGCCGGTGTGAGGCAAGGGGCTCACGCTGACCTCTGTCCGCGTGGGAGGGGCCGGTGTGAGGCAAGGGCTCACACTGACCTCTCTCAGCGTGGGAGGGGCCGGTGTGAGACAAGGGGCTCACGCTGACCTCTGTCCACGTGGGAGGGGCCGGTGTGAGGCAAGGGGCTCACACTGACCTCTCTCAGCGTGGGAGGGGCCGGTGTGAGGCAAGGGGCTCACGCTGACCTCTGTCCGCGTGGGAGGGGCCGGTGTGAGGCAAGGGCTCACACTGACCTCTCTCAGCGTGGGAGGAGCCAGTGTGAGGCAGGGGCTCACGCCTCTGGGCAGGGTGCCAGAGGCATGAGTTGGGCATCAACAGGCCACCGTGAGGGAGGAGCTGGGCCGCACGCGGGCTGCTGGGAGGCAGGCAGGGACTTGGCCCCGGGAGGCCGCCGTGGGGGCAAGAGCTGGGCCTGGAGAGGCCCCTGGGAGGCAAGGGCGGGGCCTGCAGAGGCTGTTCTCCAACCAGTGCTAGAACTGTACAGGCCACCAGGAGGCAGGAGGTGGGCCCTCAGAGCTTGGCTGGAGAAAGTTCGGGGCCTACAAAGGCGGTTGGGAGCTGGGCAGGAGTTGAGCCAAAAGAGCTTGCTTACTTGCTGGGAGGCAGGGCCGGGAGAGCCCGACTTCAGGACAACTTGGGCCTGCGGCGGTCGCCGGGAGGCCCAACCTTGGCGTGGAGGAGCCCACCGACCGGAGACCATTTGGGGCCTGGAGATGCCATCGGAGGGCAGGAGCTCATCCTGGAGAGGCCACCGTGAGGCCTGACCTGGGCCTGGGGAGCTTGGCTTGAGGAAGCTGTGGACCGACCAAGGCCGCCAGGAGATGGGTAGGCACTGAGTCCAAAGAGGTTGTTGAGAGGCAGGAATCGGGCCTGGAGACCCAACCAGGAAGAAGAGCTGGGCCCGGAGAGAACGCCCGGAGGGTGCAAGTGGGTCTGGAGAGGCCGACTTGAGGAGGTTCTGGGCCCGGAGAGGCCGCTGGAAGGGAAAAACTGGGCCTGGAAAGGCCGTTGTCAGGAATGAGCCCCATGGGCCTGAAGAGGCCACTGGCAGGCGGGAGCTGGGCCTGCCGAAGCGGCCGAGAGGCAGGAGCTTTGGACTCGGGAGGCCGCAGTGAAGCAACAGCTAGCTGGGCGTGGAGAGTCCGCTGTGAGGCAGAGGCTGGGCCTGTGCAGGCCTTCGGGAGGCAGGAGGCTGGGCCTTGTCGAGGCCTGCAGAGGCCACCGAAAGTCAAAAGCGGGGCTTGGGAAGGCCGCCGGGAGGCATGAGCTGGGCTGGGCCGAAAGAGGCCACTGGGAGGCAGGAGGAGCTGGGCCTGGAGAGGCTGCCGAAAGGCAGGAGCTTCACCTGAGGATGCCACAGTGAGACACCATCTGGGTCTGGAGGGTCCACTGTGAGGCAGAGGCTGACCTGTAGAGTCCGACAGTAGACAGAAGTTGGGCAAAAGCCTGATTTGAGGAAGTTTTGGGCTTCAAGAGTCAGCCACGAGGCAGGCACTAGGCCTGGAAATGGCCTCACAGTCATAAGTTGGGCCTAAATGGGCCACTGTGAGGGAGGAGCTGTGCCTGTTGAGGCTGCTGGCAGGCAGGCAGAAATTTGGCCTGGGGCAGCTGCCATGAGGCAAGAGCTGGGCCTGGAAAAAGCCCCTGGGAGGCAAGAGCAGGGCCTGCAGAGGCTGTTCTCAAGTCAAAGCTGGGCCTGTTGATGCCACCGGGAAGCAGAAGGTGGGCCTGGAGAGTTTGACTTGAGGAAGTTTTGGGCCTACATTGGCCGCCATTAGCTGGACAGGAACTGGGCCAAAAAAGGCTGTTGTGAGGCAGCAGTTGTGCCTGTAGACCCAGCCAAGAGGAAGAGGTGGGCCTGGAGAAGCCCCCATGAGGCAGAGGTTGGGCCTGTAGACGCTGACAGGAGGCAGGAGCTGGGCCTGGACAGGTCAACTTGAGGAGATTTTGGGCCTTCATAGGCCACCAGGAGGCAGCAGTTGGGACTAGAGAGTCTGACTTGAGTAAGTTTTGGGCCCGGAGATGATGTCCTGGGACAGGAGTTGGCCGTGGAGAGGCCACCGTGAGGCATAAGCTGGATGTAGAGAGGCCAGTGTGAGGCAAGACCTGGGCCTGTCTAGGCTGCTGGGAGACAGGCAGGAATCTGGCCAGGGAAGGTTGCCATGAGACAAAAGTTGGGCCTGGAAAGGCCCTTGTGAAGCATGAGCTTGGCCTAAAGAGGCCACTGGGTGGCAGGAGCTGGGTGTGTAGAAGCTGCTGAAAGGTTGGGAGCTTGGCTTGGGGGGTCCACAGTGAGGTAGAAGCTGGGCGTGAAGAATCTGCTGTGAGGCAGACGTTGGGACTGTAGAGGCTGACGGGAGGCAGAGGCTGGGCCTGGAGGGGCCACCAAGATGCAGGAGCTGGGCCTGGAGAGGCTGCAAAGAAGCATGAGCTGGGCCTGGTGAGGTCAACTTGAGAAAGTTCAGGGCCTGGAGAGAAGGCTGGGAGGCAGGAGCTGGGTCTAAAGAGGCCATTGTAACGATGGAGCTGTGCCTGTGGAGGCTGTTGTGAGGCAGTAGCCTCATCTGCGGAGGCTGCCGTGACGTAGGGTATGGGCCTAAATAGGCCATTGAGAGTCATGAGCTTGGTCTGTAGAGGCTGACTGGAGAAAGTTCTGGGCCTGGAGAGGCTGCCGGGAGGTAGGAGCTGGGCCAAAAGATGTAAGCACATTTGCATTTATTAGGCACTTTATTTCCATTATTACACTGTAATATATAATAAAATAATTATGGAACTCACCATAATGTAGAATCAGTGGGCGTGTTAAGCTTGTTTTCCTGCAACTGGATGTTCCCACCTGAGCGTGATGGGAGAAAGTAACAGATCAATAGGTATTAGATTCTCATAAGGACAGCGCAACCTCGATCCCTCACATGCACGGTTCACAACAGGGTGCGTTCTCCTATGAGAATCTAATGCTGCTGCTCATCTGAGAAGGTGGAGCTCAGGCGGGAATGTGAGCAAAGGGGAGTGGCTGTAAATACAGACGAAGCTTCCCTCACTCCCTCACTCGACACCGCTCACCTCCTGCTGTGTGGCTCCTTGCGGCTCCATGGCTCAGGGGTTGGGGACCCCTGCTCAAGTGCATCCAAAACGACCCTTCCCACACCAGTCTTCACAGTGGTCAAGGGCAGCAACCACTTAGCTCCCAAGGCATGTGCCTCAGCTGGCATTTCGTCACAATCAACAGTAAGTGGTAGCTTGAGTCACTGTGAGGTCACCTACTGGAAATCACCAGCATCCCATTTCCCACTGGCAAAGAGCTCAGCACTGCCCCCTGGGAAACCAAACCTATGCCCAAATCCCATCTGTGTGGGTTTACCTCCTGGGACCCTTCCTAACATATAACCTTCATAACATACTTGAGAGGCTGAGGTGAGACAATCGATTTAGCCCAGGAGTTTGAGATCAGCCTGGACGACATAACTAAATCTCATCTCTACAAGGACGAGGTGGGAGGATCACTTGAGCCCAGGAATTTGTGGCCAGCCTGGGCAACAAAAGAAGACCCCATCTGGCCAACATGGCCAACCTGGCCACCACGGTGAAACTCTGACTCTACAAAAATGATCTGGGCATGGGTGACATGCGTGTGTAGTCCTAGCTACTTGGGAGGTTGAGATGGGAGGATTGCTTGATCTCAGAAGGCCAAAGCTATAGTGAGCTATGATCACATCACTGCACTCCAGCCTGGATGGCACAGGAAGATTCTGTCTCAAAAAAAAGAAAAGAAATATATATTTAATCTCTGTCCCTGGTTCCTGGCACAGAGCTTCTAAAGCTCTTACAAAGACCTCAGTGATAGATGTGACAGGAGCATCTTTTGTTTTAATATTTGGTCTTGGTCCCAGGTTTCTAACACAAGAGCCTCTAAGAACTTTGGGATCTCCAGCATGGTAAGAATGCATTTGGGGATGTTGTTGAGATGACTGGGTGACTGCAAGCTCCTAAATTTCTTCAAGAGGAGGGCTGATTACCATGCAACCACATGGTAAGAGGCTTGGAACTTTCAGCCTCATGCACTGAACTCCAGGGGGAAGAGGGGCTGGAGACTGACTTAATCACCAACAGCCAAAGGTTTTATCAATCATGCTTGCATAATAAAGCCTCCATAAACACCCTGAAAGGGGTTTGCAGAGCTTTCAGGGTTGCTGGACACAGGAGATGCTGGGAGGGTCGCATGTTCAACAGAGGGCATGGGAGCTCTGTGCCCCTCCGAACTTAACTTGCCCTGGGTATCTTTCTTTTTTTTGAGACAGGATCAGGCTCTTTTGTCCAAGCTGGAGTGCAGTGGCACAATCTCAGCTTACTGTAACCTAAGCCTCCCCAGTCCCCAGCTCAAGGTATCCTCTCATCTCAGCTTCCCTAGTAGTTGGAACTCTAGGTGCACAACACCACACCAGTTATTATTATTATTTTTTAATTTTTTATAGAGACAGGTTTTCACCATGTTGCCCAGGCTGGTCTCAAACTCCTGAGTTTAAGCGATCCTCCCACCTTGGCCTCCCAAAGTGCTGAGATTACAGGCATGAGCCACTGCATCCAGCATGCACGTCTCTTTCATTGACTGTTTCTGAGATGTATCCTTCACAATGAACCAGTAATAGGAAATGAACTGGCCAGATGTGGTGGCTCACATCTGTAATCCCAGCACTTTCAGAGGCTGAGGTGGGAGGATCACTTGAGACCAGGAATTTGTGGCCAGCCTGGCCAACACAACAAGACCCCATCTATACAAAAAATAAAAGAAACTAGCCAGATGTGGTGGTGCAGGCATGTAGTCTCAGCTACTAGGGAGGCTGAGGTGGGAGAACCACTGGAACCCAGACAATCAAGGCTGCAATGAGCTATGACTGCACCATTGCACACCAGCCTGGGCAACAAAATAAGACCCTCTCTCTCAGAAAAAAAGAAAATAAACTGTTTTTCTGAGTTCCGTAAACTGTTCTAGCAAATTATTAAACCCAAGAAGACAGTTACGGGAACCCCCGATTGGTAACAGGTTGGTCAAAAGTATGGTGACAACTTAGGACTTGCCATTGTCATCTGAAGTGAGGATGGCCTCGTGGGACTGAGCCCCTAACTTGTGGGGTCTGTGCTAACTCCAGGTAGTGTCAGAATAAAGTCATGGGATACCCAGTTAATATCCAGAGCACTGAAGAATCTGGTGTAGAAACTCCATACGTACATTCAGTCGGAAGTGTGTGAGTAGAGACAAACATGGGCTTTTCTGTCACCTACCTGCTTAACTGCATAGGAGAGGCAATATGTGGTGCTCATGAACAAAGCAAACATTAAAGTCAGACCAGACCCAACATTTGACTCAGTCTTAATATCCAGGTGAGCCTGCGCAAATCATTCATTATTCCTAAGGTTTTCATCACTCCATTCATAAAATGGGGATAACTGTGGCACCTACATGTGATTCTGTGAGAATTAACGAAATATTATGCTTGGGGTTATTGTGATCATTATACCTGTTCCAAACTATTTGACAAGGACAGTGATGGATGAAGACATCAAAAAATCAGAAACTGCAATGAGGTCTCTCAGGCAAAATTCCATACAAGCAAATTACTGTGTCTACAAAGCATTCCTGCCACACTTAATTCACCATTCCCTGAACAGAATATGCCATCTTCGTTGTTCAGGTCTGTACAGTGCTGGTTTCCCTTCCCGGACAGTTTGCGCTATCCCATCCCGGCCCATTCCCCATCCCTCCACCTCCCCCTTCCCTCCCCACTCTCATACAACTCTTCCTCATCTTTCAGGACTTGGCTTCAATGTCACCTTAACTGGAAGCTTCTCTCACTCTCCAGAAGAGCTTCCCATTGCACCTGATGCATGGGAAACATAATTTGATCATTTTTAAGTTACAGTCCAAATCTTTTTGTACCTGAATAACATGTTGCCCAGTCAGTCTCTCTTCCTGGATTCACAAGTCTTTCATGGTAGATCCAGCTGGAAGTGACAAAAAGACATCTTTTGACATAAAGGGATGACACAGACAGACATAAGTTCTTAAATGTCTTAAATGTTATGTGAGAATTAAACAGAATTCAAAGACTTGTGGGGAGCACTTAGGAAGTTACTGGGAATGTCATGAAGGGTTAATTTGTATTTTATTTTATTTTTTGAGACAGTCTCATTCTGTCACCTAGGCTGGAGTGCAGTGGTGCAATCAGGCTCACTGCAGCCTTGACCACCTGGGCTCAAGTAATCTCACTTAATTTTTATTTGGTTTAAGAAAGTCTTGGTTGAGGGTGGTGGCTTATGCCTGTAATCTCAGCACTTTGGGAGGCTGAGAGAGGTATATTACTTGAGGCCAGGAGTTTGAGATCAGACTGGGCAATATATTAAGACCCTGCCTCTACCAAAAAACAGAGTGAATGTGTGGAAGACAATTTTTCCACAGACTGGGAATGAGGGAATAATTTCAGGATGATTCAAGTGCATTACATATATTGTGCACTTTATTTCTATTATTACTACATAGTAATATATAATGAAATGATTCTACAACTCACTATAACGTAGACTCAGTGGGATCTCTGAGCTTGTTTTCCTGCAACTAGACTGTCCATCTGGGGTGATGGGAGACAGTAACAGAATATCAGGCATTAGATTCTCATAAGGAGTACACAACCTAGATCCCTCGCATGCACACTTCACAACAGAGTTTGTGCTCCTGTGAGAATCTAATGCTGCTGCTGATCTGACAGGACATGGAGCTCAGGTGGTCATGCAAGCGATGGGAGGGGCTAGAAATACAGATGAAGTTTCCCTTCACTCGCCTGCTGCTCACCTCCAGCTCTGTGGCCCTGTGGTTGGAGACCGCTGCTCAAGTGCATTTGAAAGGAACCAACCCACGCCATTCTTCAGAGTCATCTTTACTGCTGCAGTGGTCAACTTGTAGCACCCCTAAGCTCGCAGGACATATGCTTCAACTGGCATTTCACAATCAACAGTATGTGGCAGCTTGAGTCATTGTGAGCTCACATCCTGGAAATCACCAGCATCCCATATCCCATTGCAAGGAGCTCAGCACTGCTCCTTGGATAACCAAACCTATTCCCAAATCCCATCTGTGTGCGTCTATCTCCTGGTACCCTTCCTAGCATCAATTCTGTATTTGTAGGAGTCCAATCAGGAGACACAAACCACTCAAAAGTTTAAACTAGAATGAGCAAGATGGCTCACACCTGTAATCCCAGAACTCTGGGAGGCCAAGGTGGGTGGACTGCTTTGAGCTCAGGAGTTTGAGAACAGTCTGGGAAACATGGCGAAACCTCGTCTCTACAAAAAACACAAAAATCAGCTGGGTGTGGTGGCACTTACCTGTAATCCCAGCTACTCGGGAGGCTGAGGCAGGAGAATTGCTTGAGCCTGGCAGGTGGAGGCTGCAGTGAGCAGAGGTTGTGCCACTGTACTCCAGCCTGGGTGACAGTGTGAGACCCGGTATCAAAAAGAAAAAACGTATATATATATATATATATATATATATATATATATATATATATATATATGTAAATTTAATATAAAAAGTATTAATTTTGGCCAGGCAAAATGGCTCATGCCTGTAATCCCAGCACTTTGGGAGGCCAAGGCAGACAGATCACCTGAGGTCAGGAGTTCGAGACCAGCCTGACCAGCACAGAGAAACCCCATCTCTACTAAAAATACAAAATTAGCTGGGCATGGTGGCACATGCCTGTAATCCCAACTACTCGGGAGGCTGAGGCAGGAGAATTGCTTGAACCCAGAAGGTGGAGGTTGCGCTGAGCCGAGATAGCGCCATTGCACTCCAGCCTGGGCAACAAGAGTGAAACTCCATCTCAAAAAAAAAAAAGGGTATTAATTTTTACAGAGGATCAGCACAATGAGGGACACACTAGCACAAAGTAAAGACAACTCTAGAGAATACGGAACTAGCAGAGGCCAGGCATTGTGGCTCATGCCTGTAATCCCAGCAATTTGGGAAGCCTAGGCAGGAGGATCGCTTGAGGCCAGGAGTTGGAGACCAATCAGTGCTAAATAGTGAGACTCTGTGTCTACCAAAAAAAAGAGACATTAGCCAGGTGTGGTGGTGGTGCACACCCGTAGTTCCAGCTACTTGGGAGTCTGGGGTGGGAGAAATCCCTTGAGCCTGGGAAGTCTACACTACAGTGAGCCAAGATTGTGCCACTGCACTCCAGCCTGGGCGACAGAGTGAGACCCTGTCTTAGAAAGAAAAAAGAAAAGAAAGTGTTAATCCCCCTATGGGAATCTCCTCTTCTCCTGCCCTCTCTGGAACCTCACTTGTCAGTTCTTCCTCCCACTTTCCTGTATCTTTAACCTATCCCCCACTTTTAGCTCCTTCCCATCATCATTTAAATTACTCAAACTTCTTCTGTTTTAAAAACCTCTCCCTAAACTCAGGGAGAGGTCTTCTGCACACACATTGAGCCATCTGCTCTTCCCGGTGCCTTCTCTACAGCAGCCTGAGCCATGTCTCTAATCTATGAATCTCATCATGTTACTCCCCCATTTACATCACTTCTCCTTGCCTCAGGGATTAAGTCCAAACTCCTTAACAGCCCCTGCTCTGCCCTGCCTTGCAAGGCAGCCTCACTGCTTGCCCCTCTCCATTTCATCTGCTATGGAGTCCAACTGAGCCTCATCTGCCCCTTGAACGCACACTCTTTCTCCTCTGGGAGTCTCTGAAGTGGGTAATATCCTCTGCTTATAATATGCTTCCCCTTAAACCTCTACTCTCTTCCTAGCTAGCTTTGACTCCTCTGTCACTTGTCCGCTTTGGCATCACCTCCTCATAGAAGACTTCTATGACTCCCGAGATTCTCAGGAGCATGGCAGGTGAAGTGCTCCTCCCATGAATGGATGGAGATTAGGGAGTGTGTGTTATTCATGCTTAATTCACCAGTGCTTAGCTGAGTACCTGGCATAAAATAGTTACTGTGGTGGCCAAAGTAATAACCCCCACCGCCACCAATTGCTCATGTCCTATGTTACACAGCACAGTTACAGAGGAAGGGGGAATTAAGAGTGCAGATAAAATTAATGTTGCTCATCAGCTGACCTTAAAACAAGATTATCCTGGAGTATCTAGGAGAGCCCATGTAATTACAAGCATTCTTTAAAACTGGAAGAGGGAGGCAGAAGGTTAAGAACCAGAGACGGTGGGCACAATGGCTCATGCCTGTAATACCAATACTTTGGGAGGCCAGGGTAGGAAAATCCCTTGAGTGCAGGAGTTCAAGGTCAGCCATGGCAACATACTGAGGTCCCATCTCTACAACAAAATAAAAACAAAATTCACTGAGTGTCACGATGCTTACCTGTAGTCCCAGCTACTGGGAAGGCTGACATGGTAGGATTGCTTGAGCCTGGGAGTTTGAGGCTATAATGAGCCATGATAGGACCACTGAACTCCATCCTGAGTGACAGGGCAAGGTCCTGTTTCTGAAGAAAAAAAGGACATTGGAATCAGGGCCCTCTCCATCCTGAGGTGCCTACAAGGCATCTCTCTCTGCAAACGAGTAAACATCACCCTCCAACTCCTTACAGAGTGGAGCAACAGGAAAACTCCTTCACCTCATTTCTGTGCTGCTTGGGAGGCCTGGACAGCCCAATAACCAGCTCCTCGCTGATGAAGCAATCAGGAAATGGCTCGAGTTGAGCTAAGGAGAATTTGGATCCTTCCTTTGGTTCTCAGTAGGCAGGGTAGGGGCCAGGCATGGTGGCTCATACCTGTAATCCTTGCACTGTGGGGGGCCAAGGTGAGAGGATTGCTTGAGGCCAGGAGCTCAAGACCAGCCTGGACAACATAGCAAGACCTGGGTGGCACACACCTGTGGTCCCTACTACTTGGTAGGATGAGGTGGGAGGATTGATCACTTGATCCCAGGAGTTTCAGGCTGCAGTGAGCCATGATCACACCACTGCACTTCAGCCTGGGTGACAGAGCCAGACCATGTCACAAAAAGTTAGAAAAAAAAAAGAGAGAGGGAGAGAGACTATACACAGGCACCACCACATTTGGCTAATTTTTAAATATTCTGTAGAGACAAGGTCTTGCTAGGTTGCCCAGGCTAGTCTAAAACTCCTGGCATCAGGCTGGGCATGGTGGCTCATGCTTGTAATCGCAGCACTTTGGGAAGCTAAGGCAGGCAAATCACCTGAAGTCTGGAGTTCGAGACCAGCCTGGCCAACACGGTGAAACTCTGACTCTATCAAAAATACAAAAATCAGCTGGGCAGTAGTGGCGTGTGCCTGTAGTCTCACCTACTCGGGAGGCTGAGGCAGGAGAATCACTTGAACCTGGGAGGTGGAGGTTGCAGTGGACCCCATCACTGCACTCCACCCTGGGTGACAGAGCGAGACTGTCAACAACAACAACAACAACAAAAACAAAAACAACAACAACAAAAAAAACTCCTGGCATCAAGACATCTTCCTGTCTTAGCCTCCCAAAGCCCTGGGATTATACTGTTTCCTATAATTGAAGACACTTGTTCTTATACTGCTTTAAGGTATAAAGGAAGAAAAAAAAAACAGATAATGGCAAATGTTGGTGAAGGCCGGGCATGGTGGCAGCCTGTAATTCCAGAACTTAGGGAGGCTGAGGTGGGCAGATCACTTGAGGCCAGGAGTATGAGACCAGCCTGGGCAACATGGTAAAATCCCACCACTACAGAAAAATCTAAAAATTAGCCAGGCATGGTGGCGTACACCTGTAATTTTCAGCTACCCAGGAGGCTGAGATGAGAGAATCACTTGTGCCTGGGAGGTCACGGCTGCAGTGAACTGTGATGGCATCATTGCACTGCGGCCTGAGAGACAGAGCAAGCCCCTATCTAGAAAAAAAAAATGTCAGTGAAGATGTGGAGGAATTGGAACCCACAAACATTACTGGTGGGAACATAAAATTGTGTAACCATTTTGTTTGGGTATTTCTTTTCTTGTCATTTTAATTGGATTTTTAAAAAATCAAGACGGGGTTTCACTATCTTGCCCAGGCTGGTCTTGAATTCACGGGCTCAAGCCATCCTCCTAGCTGAGCCTCCTGAGTAGCTGGGATTACAGGTGTGAGCCATTGCACCCAACTGGTATAGCCACGTTAGAAAACATTCTGGCAGTTTCTCAAAAGGCTAAATGTACAGTCATCCTATAATGCAACAATTTCACTCCTAGGCATATATCCCAGAAAAATAAAAATATATGTCCACACAAAAACTTGTACAACAATCTTCATAGCAGCATTATTCATAATGACCAATACATGGAATACATGGAAACAACCCAAATATCCACCAACTGATGAACAGATAAACAAAATGCAGTGTGTCTCTACCATGGAATACTGCCATAGAAGGAATGAAATATTGATACACACTATGACATAAAGGAACTTTGAAAACACTGTGCTAAGAGGGAAAAAAAGCCACAAAAGATCACATATTGTACAATTCTATTTGTCCAGATTAGGCAAATCTATAGTGACAAAAAAATTAATCAATGGTTGCCTAAGGCTGGGGGCAAAGGTAGGTGGGGAGAGTAGGAGGTAGTGGCTAAGGGGTATGGATTTCTCTATAGGGTAATGAAAGGTTCTAAAAGTGACTGTGGTGATCGATGCACAGCTCTGTGAATATTCTAAAACCTACTGAATTGCAGATTTCAATAAATAAAGTGAATGGTATGTGAATATTTTAATAAAGCTATTATTTAAAATAATAATAATAGGGGGCTGGGCACAGGTGGTCATGCCTGCCTGTAATCCCAGCACTTTGGGAGGCTGAGGCAGGAGGATCACTTGAGGTCAGGAGTTTTGAGCCCAGTCGGAGCAACATGGCAAGATCCCGTCTCTATGATAAAAAATTAGCTGGACATGGTGGCACATGTCTGTAGTCCCAGCTACTTGGGAGACTGAAGTGAGAGAACCACTTGAGCCCAGGAGTTTGAGGCTACAGTGAACCATGATCATGTCACTGTACTGTAGCCTAAGCAACAGAGCAAGACGCTGTCTCTGAAAAGGAAAGAAAACAAATGCAAGTTTTTATCACTTTGTGAGTGTAGCCAAGTTGGAGGAGAAATAGACAATAATAAAAGAGCACTGAATAATGACAGTGAGTGGCTGGTTAGGCTCAGTTGCTAGCTAAATGGCTTCTAAAAAATTCAATAAAGTTACAGCTCTGGGGACAGTCATGTAGTCAAAGAATGAAGGCGAAATTCATTACAATTGCCCATGGTCTTTATTTACATGCCTTCTAGTGAAAAATTCCTAAGTGCCTAAACAGCAAGTCTGCAATGATAGCAGCTGTTTATTAAAGACTACAAAAAAGAAATGGAGGCCGGGCGTGGTTGTTCACATCTGTACTCCTTGAATTTTGGGAGGCTGAGGCAGGCAGATTGCCTGAGGTCAGGAGCTCCAGAGGAGCCTGGCCAACATGGTGAAATCCCATCTCTACTAAAAATACAAAAATTAGCTGGGTATGGTGGCGGGCACCTGTAATCCCAGCTACTCGGGAGGCTGAGGCAGGAGAATTGCTTGAACCCAGAAGGTGAAGGTTGCAGTGAGCCAAAATCGCACCATTGCACTCCAGCCTGGGTGACAAGAGAAAGACTCTTATCTTAAAAAAAAAAAGAAAAAAAAGAAATGGCATCTTCTTCAAGAATTACATCGTGTTTCATGATAAAGAAGCTCTAATTTTGCATTTGTTCAAGTATTGATGAGATTTACCCAATATGACACCCATCTTGGATAAAATGCAAACAACACAATTTCATTTTGTCATTAACAAAACCGATTAAGTAGTCTAATATAAATTGCGATCTTATTAAAAACTGATCCGATTTAAAAAATTATGGAATTATGGAGCCAATAAGATGTTACAACCTGTTCCAAGGGGAATTCCAAAATCCACACATATCTGAGACCATCAAGTATGATGAAATATATTTGATTACTATATTGAAAAATAAACTGATTACATAGCCAACAATTGGACAGGGGTCTCCTCATCCACAGCCACACAAACCCGATCATGCAGCTGTATGGTTACAAGGCCTACATAGCCTAGAAGGGACTGGTCTGACTTGAGATTTCATTTGTATTTGTATTTTGAGACAGGGTCCCACTCTGTCACCCAGGATGGAGTGCAGTGGTATAATCATAGCTCACTGCAACCTTGACCAACTGGGCTCAAGAGATGCTCCTGCCTCAGCTGCCCCCATACCTGGGAATACAGGCAAGTATCACCATGTCAGGCATTTTTTTCATTTTTGTAGAGAGAGAAGACTTGCTATGTTGCCCAAGCTGGCCTCAAACTCCTAGAATCAAGAGATCTGCCCATCTCAGCCACATGAGTAACTGGGGCCATAGGTACATACCATCATGCCTGGCTATATTTATTTTATTTTATTAAATTTATTTTTTTTATTTTTGTAGAGAGGAGGTCTTGCTGTGTTGCCCAGGCTGCTCTCAAACTCATGGCCTTAAAACATACTCCCATCTCCTCTGCCTCTCAAACTGTTGGAACTATAGGTGTGAGCCACTGTACCTGGCCTGACTTGGGATTTCTTTTATCTAGCATCCTTTACTTGGTAGGATTGGGAAAAGCAGTAGTGTTTTTTAAAATTACTTAATAATTCAATCAGAATCAAACTCAACCTTGACCACTGCCTTCTCTCACAGCTCACATCCAGTCTGTCAGGAAATCCTACTGACTGACTTCAACATGTATCCAGGCTCTAACCATCTCTCACCACCACCATGAACCCCGTCAGGATCACTATCATCTCCCACCGGGATGTTGCCACAGCTTGGCTCCCATGCTTCTACCCAAATCTTCCCATAGTCTTTCTCAACTCGGCAGCCAGGTCGTGCTTTTAAATCAGGAGACGGATCATGTCGCCTCTCTGCTCAGAAGCCCTCGGTGGTTCCCATTTTAGTCAGAGCAAAAGCCAAAGCCCCAGCAATAGCGTCCCAGGGCTTACACGATCTGTACCGATCCCAGCCCAGCAACTCCCTGGCCTCCTCGCTGACTTCGCTCCATCTCTTTGCTCCACTGGCCTCCTTCCAGAGCCTCAGACACACCAGAGAGTTTCCTCCTAATGCCTTTATCCTGTTGACTCAGCCTACAATGCTCTTCCCTCAGCACCTTGGCCAGCTCCATCACCTGCTTCAAACTTTTGCTCAATATTCACTTATGAGGCCAACCCTGACCACTCTACTTAACACTGCCATCTGTCCCCATTCCCACCATGCTCATTTCTTTCTTTCTTTTTGAAACAAGATCTTGCTTTATTGCCCAGGCTGGAGTACACTGGTGCAATCACAGCTCACAGCAACTTCAACCTCCCAGGCTTAAACAATCCTCCCGCCTCAGCCACCCTAGGAACTGAGACTACAGCTGCATGCCACAACACATGGCTTTTATTTTTTTTTTTTTGAGACGGAGTCTCGGTCGCCCAGGCTGAAGTGTAAGGGTGCGATCTTGGCTCACTGCAATGTCTGCCTTTTGGGTTCAAGTGATTCTCTGCCTCCCAAGTAGCTGGGATTACAGGCACCCACCACCACACCTGGCTAATGTTTGTATTTTTAGTAGAGATGGGGTTTCACCATCTTGGCTAGGCTGGTCTTGAACTTCTGACCTCGTGATCCACCCTCCTCGGCCTCCCAAAGTGCTGGGATTACAGGCGTGAGCCACTGCGCCTGGCCTTTAAAAAAATATTTTTTTTAGACATGAGGTCTCATTATGTTGCCCAGGCTGGTCTTAAGCTCCTGGGCTTAAGCGATCCTCCCACCTCAGCCTCCTAAAGTTCTGGGATTACAGGCGTGAGCAACTGTAACATGAGGTCCCAGCTTCGTGTTCATTTTTTGTTGTTGCTACAACAAAGTACCCTACATTTAGTGGCATCAAACACCACAAATCTACCATCTTACAGTTCTGGGGGCCAGAAGCCCAACTAGGTCTATTAAGGCTAAAGTCAAGGTGTCAGAGAGGCTGCATTCCTTCTGGGGGAGGCTCTAGACAGAATGTGCTCCTTTGCCTTTTCCAGCTTCTAGAAGCCACCCCCATTCCTTGACTTACCTCGTGACTCCATATTCAAGGCCAGAAGTGCAGCATCTTCAAATCTCCCTCTCTGACCTCTTCTTCCATTACCACATCACTTTCTCTAATTCTGACTCTCCTACCTCATTCTCTTATAAAGATCCTTGTGATTGGTGGGTATGGGGGCTCCCATCTGTAATCCCAACATTTTGGGAGGCCAAAGAGGAAGGATTGCTTGAGGCCAAGAGTTAGAGATCAGCCTGGGGAAAATAGGAAGATCCTGCCTTTACAAAATTAAAATCAGCTGGACATGGTGATGCATGCCTGTAGTTCCAGCTACTGGAGAGGCTAAGGTGGGAGGATTGCTTTAGCCTAGGAGGTCAAGGCTGCAGTGAGCTATGATCACATCACTGCACTCCAGCCTCAGTGGCAGAGTGAGACTCTGTCTCCGATATAAGAAAAGAAATATACATTTGGTCTCTGCCCGTGGTTCCTGGCATAGAGCTTCCAAAGCTCTTATAAAGCCCTTCGTGACAGAGGTAATAGGAGCATTTTCTGTTTTGATATTTAGTCTTAGTCCCAGGTTCCTGACACAAGGGCCTCTAAGGTCTTTCAGATCTGCAGCATGGTAAGAATGCATGTGGGATGCTGTTGAGCTAACGGGGTGGCTGCAAGCTCCGAGACTGCTTCAGGAGGAGGGCTAGCTGCCAGAGAAAGCAACCACATTTTTTTTTTAAAACAGAGTTTGGCTCTTGTAGCCCAGGCTGGAGTGCAATGGCACAATCTCAGCTTGCTACAACCTCCACCTCCCGGGTTCAAGCAATTCTCCTGCCTCGGCCTCCCGAGTAGCTGGAATTATAGGGGTGTGCCACAATGCCTAGCTAACTGTTGTTATTTTTAGTAGAAACGGGGTTTCACCATGTTGGTCAGGCTGGTCTCAAACTCTTGACCTCAAGTGGTCCATGTGCCTCAGCCTTCCAAACTGCTAGGATTACAGGAGTGAGCCACCGCACCTGGCCCCAACCACATTTTTTGAGGCTTGGAACTTTCAGCCTCACCTGCTGAACTCCAGGAGGCAAAAGGAACTGGAGATTGACTTAACTACCAATGGCCAGTGATTTTATCAATCATGCCTCCATAAACACCCAAACAGCAGGGTTTGGAGAGCTTCTGTGTTGCTAAACACAAGGAGGTCCTGGGAGGGTAGTGTGCCCAACAGAGGGCATGGAAGCTCTGTGCCCCTCCCCACTTACCTTGTCCTGTGCATCTCTTTCATTGGCTGTTCCTGAGATGGAGCCATTACATTGAGCCAGTAATAGAAAATAAGGTGGCCAGATGCACTGGCTCATGCCCGTAATCCCAGCACTTTGGGAGGCAGAGGTGGGCGGAATCACTTGAGCCTAGGAATTTGAGACCAACCTGGGCAACATAAGAAGACCCCATCTATACAAAAAATAAAAGAAATTAGCCAAATGTGGTGGTGGGAACCCTGTAATTCCAGCTACTTGAGAGGCTGAAGCAGGAGAATCACTTGAGCCCTGGACGTTGAGGCTTCAATAAGCTATGATTACACCACTGCACACCAGCTTGGACAACAGAGCGAGGCCCTGTCTCTTAAAAAGAAAAGAAAAAAAACTTGTTTTTCTAAGTTCTGTGAGTTGTTCTAGTAAATAATTAAACTCAACAAGAGGGTCATGGGAAACCCTGATTTCTAACTGGTTGGTCAAAATACAGGTGACAACCTAGGACTTGCAACTGGCATCTGAAGTGAGGGTGGTCTTGTGGGACTGAGCCCCTAACCTGTGGGTTCTGTGCTAACTCTAGGTAGTGTCAGAATGGAATTGTGGGATACGCGGTTGGCATCCAGAGAGTTGGAGAACTGGTGTAGAAACTCTGCACACACATTTGGTCAGAAGTCTGTGAGTAGAGAGAAACGTGTTGCAGGAAGTCAGGGACCCCAAACGGAGGGACTGGCTGAAGCCACAGCAGAAGAATATAAATTGTGAAGATTTCATGGACATTTATTAGTTCCCCAAATTAATACTTCTATAATTTCTTAGGCCTGTCATTACTGCAATCTCTGAACATAAATTGTGAAGATTTCATGGACACTTATCACTTCCCCAATCAATACCCTTGTGATTTTCTATGCCTGTCTTTAATCTCTTAATCCGGTCATCTTCGTAAGCTGAGGATGAATGTCCCCGCAGGACCCTGTGATAATTGCGTTAACTGCACAAGTTGTTTAAACAATATGAAACCTGGGCACCTTGAAAAAAGAACAGGATAACAGCAATTTCAGGGAACAAGGGAGATAACCTTAAACTCTGGCTGCCTGTGGGCCGGGTTGAACAGAGCCATATTTCTCTTCTTTCAAAAGCAAATAGGAGAAGTATTGCTGAATTCTTTTTCTCAGCAAAGAACATCCCTGAGAAAGAGAATGCATCCCTAAGGGGAGGCCTCTGAAATGGCCGCTTTGGGGACGGCTGTCTTTTACAGTCATAGATAAGGGATGAAATAAGCCCTGGGTTCGCGTGGCGCTCCCAGGCTTATCAGGACAAGGAAATTCCCGCCTAATAAATGTTGGTCAGATGGGTTGTCTGCTCTCAAACCCTTTCTCCTGATAAGATGTTATCAATGACAATGCGCGCCCGAAACTTCATTAGCAATTTTAATTTCGCCCCAGTCCTGTGGTCCTGTGATCTTGCCCTGCCTCCATTTGCCTTGTGATATTTTATTACCTTGTGAAGCATGTGATCTCTGTGACCCACACCCTATTCGTACACTCCCTCACCTTTTGAAAATCACTAATAAAAACTTGTTGGTTTTGCGGCTTGGGGGGCATCACGGAACCTGCCGACGTGTGATGTCTCCCCTGGACATCCAGCTTTAAAATTTCTCTCTTTTGTACTCTTTCCCTTTATTTCTCAGACTGGCTGACACTCAGGGAAAATAGAAAAGAACCTACATGAAATATCAGGGGTGAATTTCCCCCGATATCACACTGGCTCTTCTCTCACCTGTCTACCTGCTTAACTTAATAGGAGAGGCAATGCATGGTGCTCATGAACAAGGCAAGCATTAAAGTCAGACCAGACTAACATTTGACTCAGTCCTAATATTCAGGTGAGCTTGGGCAAATCGCTCATTAACCCCAAGTCTTCATCATTTTGTGCATATAATGGGGATAACTGTGGCACCCACCTGTTTTTGTGAGAATCAATGAAATATTATGCTTGATGTTATTGTGATCATGATACTATCTGACAAGGGCAGTGATGCATGATAACATCAAAAAATTAGAAACTGTAATGAGGTCTCTTGGGCAAAATTCCATACAGGCAAATTACTGTCTCTACAAAGCATTTCTGCCACACTTAATTCACCATACCCTGAACAAAATGTGCCATCTTCATTGTTCAGGTCTGTATAGTGCTGGTTTCCCTGCCTGGGCAGCTCACTCCATCCCATCCCAGCCCAATCCCCATCCCTCCACCTCCCCCTTCCCTCCCCACTCTCATACAACTCTTCCTTATCTTACAGGACTTGGCTTCAATGTCACCTTAACTGGAAGCTTCTCTCCCTCTCCAGAAGAGCTTCCGATTGCACTTGATGCATGCACTATTATTTGATCATTTTTGAGTTACAGTCCAAGTCTTTTTGTACCTGAATAACATGTTGCCCAGTCAGTTTCTCTTCCTGGATTCAGAAGTCTTTCATGGTAGGTCCAGCTAGAAGTGACAAAAAGACATTTAAAAAAAAAAAAAAAGAGGGATGACACAGACAGACATCAGCACTTAAAAGTTTTAAACGATATGTGAAAAACAAAATTTAAGGGCTTCTAGGAGAAATGTAGGAGGGAAGGTGTTACTGGGAAATATGATAGAAGGTTAATTTTTATTTTATTTTATTTTTAGAGAAAGGGTCTTGCTCTATCACCTAGGCTGGACTGCAGTGGTGCAATCACAGTTAACTGCAGCCTCAACCTCCAGGGCTTGAGCAATATTCCCATCTAATTTTTATTTTGTTTAAGAAATGCAGTCTTGCTCTTAGCAAAGCTAAAGTGCAATGGTGTGATCATAGCTTACTGCAGCCTCAACCTTCTAGACTCAAGTGATCCTCCAGTCTTAGCCTCCCCAGTAGCTCGGACTACAGGTGTGCACTGCAACGTGTAGCTCATTTTTTTTTTTTAATTTTTAGTAGAGACAAAGTGTCACTATGTTGACCAGGTTGGTGGTGATCTCCTACACTCAGGCAGTTCTCTCACCTCAGCCTTCCAAAATGCTGGGATTACAGGTGTGAGCTGCCACACCTGGCTGAGGGGGTTAATTTTTAATTATATAAAGAGCTCAAAGCAAATATTAGAAGGAGCCTAAATGCCTCCAGCAGTTGACTGGTACTGGTAAATTGTGATACATCCATATAATAAAATATTATGCAACCATGAAAAGGATTAAGATAGATCAATAGGTATTGGCACAAATGTCCACGAAATATGAAAATATGAAGTGATGTTCAATCACCATGTACGTATCTTGAAGGATATGGCCCATTTTCTCAACTGCAATTATTTCCTGAGATAAGATTATGGGTCTAAAGAGTGAAGGACATTTTTCACTTATTTAAAAGTATTTATCATTTTTATAATTTAATAAAAGATTAAACAGATCATTGAATTAGTAAAAGACAAAGTAACTCTATAAATAAATGGAAAAGACACAGATACCCCAGGCATGGTGGCTCATGCTTATAATACCAGTACTTTGGGAGGGGGTGGTGGGGGGATTGCTTGAGGCCAGGAGTTCCAGACCAGCCTAAGAAACAAAGCAAGACCTCCTCTCTAGTAAAAATAAAAAAATAAAAATAATTGGCCAGGCATAGTGGCATGTGCCTATAGTCCCAACTACTGAGGTGGAAGGATCACCTGAGCCTAGGAGGTCAAGGCTGCAGTGAGTTGAGACTGTGCCACTACACTGAAGCCTAGGAGACAGAGCGAGACTTCATCTCAAAAAAAAAAAAAAGGACAATAAAGAAATAAAGCTAATAAGCTAACATAAGGAAAGATAAAATATGTGACAAATAGGCTGGGCACATGGCTCACAGCTGTAATCAAGCACTTTGGGAGGCCAAGGCGGGTAGATCTTGAGATCAGGAGTTCGAGACCAGCCTGATCAACATGGTGAAACCACGTTTCTACTAAAAATACAAAAATTAACCAGGCATGGTGGCATATGCCTGTAATCCCAGCTAATAGGAGGTCTTTCATTTATCACACAGAAAATAACTTGTTAAATTATAATACCTGTGTGGGCGAAGGTGCAGTGAAATGGCCATTTTCTTGTAGTATTAGTGGTGTTTAAAATGTATATAAGCCTTCCAGCATAAAGCTTGGAAATTTTTTTTAAATCATACAGACAGTGACTCATTATACTGCCTCCTCCAACTCCTGGCCTCAAGCAATCCTCCCACCTCAGCCTCCCAAAGTGCTGGAATTACAGGCTGACAGCCACCATGCCTGAAAGCTTTGCAATTTACATCGAGGGTAATAAGAATGCTCATGCCCTGTGACTCACAGTAATCTCACTTCTGGAAATTTCACCTTTGGATATAATTCAACCTAAACAAAAGGTCATATGCACAAACACAGTGAAAATCTGGGAGTAATTTTTTTCTCTTTTTTTAAAAAAATATGGAATGCTTCACAAATTTGCATGTCATTCTTTCACAGAGGCCGTGCCAATCTCTCTATTGTTCCAACTTAAGTATGTGTGCTACTGAGGCAAGCATGAGTAATTTAAGATAGGGTGGTTAAGTGAAATAAGGAAGAATTATGGAGAATTTAAAAATCTATGCTATTTATAGGCACCTAGTAACAGCTCAGTAAATATTAGCTGCTACTATTATTATTTTTATGGTAATTTCACTCAATTAAAAACTGTCGTTAAAAATTGCCATTGTCATGGAACATAATGTCTCCTACTGTATAATTGTAGAAACAGATACAATTTGTCCCTTGGTATATGGGGGGATTAGTTCCAGCTCTCCCATTTCTGTGTATACCAAAATCCACGCATACTCAAGTTTTCAAAGTCAGTCCTGTGGAATCCACATATAACACAAATGGGAAAATTAGTGAGGTGTGGTGACAAGCACCTGTAGTCCCAGCTACTTGTGAGGCTGAGGCAGGAGGATTGCTTGAGCCCAGGAGGTTGAGGCTGCAGTGAGCCATAATTGCACCACTACACTCCAGTCTGGGCAACAGAGTGAGACAGAAGGTTGACTTTTTAATAGAATTTTTCTGTTCACTTGAAGATATGGTCAGGATTGTGGCATATGAAAATTCTTCATAAAATAACTATCTAATCCAATTAATGCTGGAATTGGGAACAGCAGAAGTGTCATCTCAGAGCTACTCGCAATGAAAGGTGATGTCTGGGGCTCAGGTGTGTTGAGGTCCCCATGCCTGGACTATGGGTGCTGAGTGGGATTTACTTGTCCATCCATTTTCTATATTCCAGCACTGGGAAACTAGGGACAGTACTTGTTCTCAAGGGAATCTTCAGCTTAGGTGGCTCTGTAAAAGAGAAATTACATCATTGAAAAATCGTCGCAGGTCAGGTGAGGTGGCTCATACCTATAATCCCAGCCCACTGGGAGACTAAGGCAGGAGGATTCCGTGAGGCCAGGAGTTCAAGACCAGCCTGAGCAACACAGTGAAACCTCATCTCTACAAAAAATTAGAAAATGAACTGGGTGCGGTAAAACATTCGTATAGTCCCAGCTACTCTGGAGGCTGAAATAGGAGGATCGCTTGAGCCCAGGAAGTGGAAGCTGCAGTGAGCTCTGATCTCACCACTGCACTCTAGCCTTGGTGACAGAGTGAGACCCTGTCTCAAGACACACACAAACACACACACACACACACACACACCCCCAATCTCACTCTGTCCAGCCTTGACTAATCAAAAGGGCCTTCTGGTTACAGAAGAGGTATGCTCTTTTGTAGGACAGGGAGAGACCAGCAAGCTTGTTCACAGACTTTTCCTCATCCTCTGCTTAGTTTTCCAAGAACCCTCACAGTGGAAATGGAGTCTCTGGGAAAATGACCTAAATCTTTGGGTTACCAGGGGAGAAATATGCCTCCTTTGTCAATTAATAAATGGAACATCTGCCTTAAAATCCAGGGAGTTCTGCTAGAATGAATCACTCCCTAAGACCCTGACCAATGCATGGAACATGAAAAACTGAAGTTTAACTGGGCGCGGTGGATCACGCCTGTAATCCCAGCACTTTGGGAGGCTGAGGCGGGCGGATCACCTGAGGTCAAAAGTTCTAGATCAGCCTGGCCAACATGGTGAAACCCCGTCTCTACTAAAAATACAAAAATTAGTTGGGCATGGTGGTGGACACCTGTAATCCCAGCTACTTGGGAGGCTGAGGCAGGAAAATCGCTTGAACCCGGAAGGCGGAGGTTGCAGTTACTTCTAGAAGAATTTCCATTAGCCCTTTGAAATCCTTCAACATTCATGAAGGCCAAAGAGTTTTCACCTAATTTAATCTGATGGGTATGTGACCAGAGTCTTTCTAGGGAATAGAGACTCCCAAACAGTTCGACTGGGAAGTGAGGAGAGAATTTATTACTCAAAACCAAAGGGAAATGAAAAGAGGCCAACATAGAATGTCATTATTCTTTCTTGGCGGGGAATGGATTCCAGAGTCATTCTGTGACCTTTACATGACCTCCTTATTAGCATCTAAAAGCTTCCAGTGTAGGATGCAGCCAGCTAGGTTCTCTTCTAATGTAATAAAATTTGCTTCGGCAAATCTTATGCAGAGCCATCTCCAGGCTCCAGAAACAATAGGCTATAAATTACTGGATCTCCCATTTGATACAATGAAGTATGAGCATGGTCCTGAATGACTCCTCTACATACTACTCTGGGTGGCTTGAAGTGAATTTGATACAAGAACTGGAGCGAGGGCAAAGCAGAGCTAGATCTAGGATTAATGTGCTTGGGCCCAGCTCCTCACTACTCACCTATGAGTCTAGTTCCAGAACCCAAGTAGAGGATGGGGAAACAAGGCTCCTGACTTTTTTTCCCTAATATCTGCATCTCTTTCACATTTCTTATCTCCTTGCAAAGAAACTAAACAGGCTCAACTGAAATAACTAAATGATTAAACCCTATACAGAGAATCTCCAAAGACTGACAAAATATCATTCAAGACTGTTACACAGACAACCTTGAGGATGACTTGATGTACCAGTGATCTACAATATTTGGGATCATTCCAAATTCCCATCAAGGATCTGCCTATATCAACAAAGGAGCCAAGGACCAACCATTCAAATGGGCCCTGCTGCCAAGCCTTTTTTTTTTTTTTTTAACAATGCCATCTCTTCATATTGTTCCATTTAACAAAACTGCAGCCCTTCATCTATCCTTAAGTCCCTTGGCCAGTGGTACAGAGCCAGAGTATGCTACTCCCTAGCAGGAAATCAACAGGATGACCTACTAAACACCATTCAGAAGATGCTAAGACCCATGAATTGCAACAGGAAAGAAAAGACAGAGAATTAGTCAGACAGGTACATGCTGTGCCAAAAGTGCACTACAGCCCCCACCCAATTCTGCCTAATCCTAGCTGGGCTGACACCAACCTGATGAGACAGGCCTATAAGATCTCAAACTAAAACAGAAACTCCTGAACTGGGTTCTTTCGAGCCCAGGAAGCAGCAGTAAATCATTAAAGAACAGATAAGTTCTTAAGGTGAGGGAGAGTTTCAGATAAATGGAATGCTGGTAGAACACAGGGCCCAAAGGAGCAAAAGTTAACCTAAGCCCAGGTAGAACCTTGTTTACTAGAGTATTAGGCATGGGTTTGGGCAACTATTCTAACCAGAGAAACTGGCTTCAGTGAGGGCAAGTTGGCAATCCAAGGTATAGCATGCATAGGGCTGGCAAAATTCAGGGTGACTGAAGCAAAAGCTTCATAACCAGAAAGACCACATCTGGGGGTAGAGCACAAAACTCTCAAGAGATGAATCTTTGTAAGAGTGAGGCAGAACTATATAGCAGTTTTAGGAGATCTGTTGGTGCCCAGCAAGAGCTCCAAACGGGCTATATGCAGGGATGCAGGCTGTAGTCTCAGGAGAGGAGGTTCACAAAAGTCATTCAGTCCAAGACCTCAAACTGTGTTCTCTACTAAAAGGAATCAAGGTTCCCTAGAGAAATGGCTGACTCCATGTATGGTGCAGTATATTGATCCTGGAACATCTGTTTTGCCAGAAAGCAAGGAAGCCATCAAAGTCCAACAGGATCACTTCAAAAAGACATGAAAGTCAACTTGAAGAGATAATTATTAACCTAGATGAGACAATCTAAGCATCCAAAACAATAAAGACTGCAATGGCCTGAAATACATCAAATGCAAACAATAATCTATGAGTTCATAATGGTATTCAGAAAAAAAAACTACTGGTCATTAGAGGGAAGGTTACTAGGTCACTAACTTACTACTCTGAAAAGTGACTTAAGATGAGAGGTAGGGTGGAAAATTAGCTATTTATTCAGTCTTTCCTGTACAAACATAAATTTTTAGGGAGATTGAAGCAGATGAAACAAATCTGGAAAAATGGAGGTAACTGCTTAATCTGCGGGTTGGGTGCATGGAGGTTCAACATATTTCTTTTGTGTATATTTGAACCCCCTACAAAAAAAGCACAAGAGAGAATGTGAGCCAAGCAGCTTAGGGTTTAGGCAAGGCTTCTGCCTACAAGAGACACTAGGATATGAGGGGTAGTTTTAGCCCTAATGGGCTGAGCCAACTGGAGGTATATAGGGAAGTGCTAAATTGCAGAGGTATCATGTTGCCCAGCACTTGATCAAATCCTAGATCCTAGGTCTGCTTGGTAGCATGCTTCCTAGGTAGTGGATCTGAGGCTACCTATAGAACTTCCTTTGCAGTCATAGTTCGCTCAGAAACTACAAAAGTGCTTGCTCTTGAAAATGGAGTCTTTGTCCATTTCATGCTTCTATAAAAGAATACCACAGACTGCATAATTTATAAAAAGGAAAAAAGGAAGGAAAGAAAAAAGGAAGGGAGGAGGGAAGGAGGGAAAAAGGGAAGGAGGGAAGGAAAGGAAGGAAGGGAAAGAAGGAAAGGAAGGAAGGGAAAGAGAGAAAGAGGGAAGGAGGAAGGGAGGGAAGGAGGGAGGGAGGGAGAGAGAGAGGGAGGGAGGGGAAGGGAAGAAAAGGGAAGAGAAGGGAAAGGAGGAAGAAAAGGAAAGGAAAGGAATAAATTTTATTTCTTAACAGTTCTGGATGTTAGGAAGTCCAAGGTTGAGGGGCCTGCATCTGGTAAAGGTCTTCTTGCTGCATCATCCCACTACAGAAGGCAGAAGGAAAAGAGAGTGCAAGAAAGCAAGAGGGCAAAAGGGGCTGAACTCTGTTTTATAATAAGCCCACTCTGTGATTACTAATCTATTACCACAATAACAACATTAACTCATTCATGAAGGCTATTTTATTAGGCCCCACATCCCAACTGTTGCATTGAGGATTGAGTTTCCAGCACATAAACTTTGGGGGACACATTTAAACCATAGCAGAGCACTTAGGTTAATTCAACTAAGAGGAGCTGGGAAAATCAAAGGCATGAGAAAGACAGCAAAAGCTAGCAGAGAGAAATGCATAGGTTAAGGAAAAAAGTCACAGTGAATCCTGTAGTGCAGGCTACTTTATGAAAAGCACCTAAAAAAGATCTCATTAACTCCCCCAGCTCACCTCCACGCACATCTAAAGAGCCACACACAGCACCACCAAAGGCAGCACAATGAGAACAGCATTCTCCTCAACAGACAAGCTGGGAGTATCTAGACACCCGACCTCAATAGCTCCAGAACAGCCCTAAAACATTTCCTCCCTAACCACCACTCAAGTCACCAGCTTGGAAAGTATTAAGAAAACCCAAATCCTGACACACCACTATGAAACAACTTAAAACAGCAAAGAACAACCCATTTAAACAGCAATGCCAGCTGTTGGGAAAAAAAGGAACAATGAGTAGAGGAGAAACAGACCTCTCGGGGTCCACCAAGACCCAGTCTCTCAGCTTCAGCACTTTTAAATGCAGAATCCATACCCCTCTGGGGCCTGTGGAGCTCCACAAGGCATGTCGTCCTCAAAGATAAATGAGCAGGCAAGCTGGCTAGAAAACCACTAAGGGTATTTATTCTTTAAAGAATCTTTACAGGGTCAAAGAAGAATGGGTCTTAACTGGCTATGTGAACTCCCCACAGATTCTGAGGATGATGTCAGTATCCCTTTCCAGATGTGTTTAACACTTTGCAGTCACTTGTATTCCTGCTACTGAGTGCCAGTGCTTTGCTAATTTGAACTGATTCCAGCTCACGCTGACCCCAGCTCCCTGGATGTTACCATTAGCCAAGACTGTCACCCATACTGTACCCTTTCAAAGAGTCCTAAAAACAGCTCTTCACCTACTCTTCCAAGACAAGTAAAAATGTCTGCCAAAGAAATGGGGAAAAAAGATTCAGAGAGTGAAAACAATTAATATACTAACAAGAGAGCAAAAAGCAAAGGGGGAGGAGAAACTAGGAAAATCATATATGGGCTCTCACCTATTTCCAAAGCTGGGCTAATGTCCTTTTGCTTGTGTCTGAATAAGGCACCAATTTTAAGCTGATAATGAAAAAAAAAGAAAAAGAGAAAGAAGCAGGCCCAGGCTGGGCGCAGTGGCTCATGCCTGTAATCCCAGCACTTTGGGAGGCCGAGGCGGGTGGATCACCCAAGGTCAGGAGTTCTAGACCAGCCTGGTCAACATGGTGAAACACCATCTCTACTAAAAATACAAAAAATTAGCCAGGCATGGTGGCGCATGCCTGTAAATCCAGCTACTAAGGAGGCTGAGGCAGGAGAATTGCTTGAACCTGGAAGGCAGAGAATGTGGTGACCTGAGATCACGTCATTGCCCTCAAGCCACGGCAATGAGAACAAAATTCGGTAAAAACAAAACAAAACAAAACAAAATCACCATAAAATAACTCAGACTTAATTAAATACAACCCTAGTGGTGAATGACTAAAGATGGATTACTCATAACAGAGACAACAGTCCAATAAGAATCCAGGAATCTTACCTTTTAATAACAAAAAAATCCTTTCCTTCTAAAGTAACATCCTCTCAAGGCCAGGAATTCCATTAGTAGAAAGCCTTCCTAAAAAACAAAATTCCTGGCCAGGCATGGGTTCACGTCTGTAATCTCAGCACTCTGGGAGGCCGAGGCGGGAAGATCACTTGATATCAGGAGTCGAGGCGGGAAGATCACTTGACGTCAGGAGTTCGAGACTGGCCCGGCCAACATGGTGAAACCGCATCTCCACTAAAAATACAAAAATTAGCCTGGTATGGTGGTGGGCACCTGTAATCCCAGTGACTTGGGAGGCTAAGGCAGGAGAATTTCTTGAACCCAGGAGGCAGAGGTTGCAGTGACCAGCAAGGTTGCGCCATTGCACCCCAGCCTGGGCGATAAGAGTGAAAACTCCATCTCAAAAAAAAAAAAAAAAAAAAAATTCCTTTGGGAAGGCCTTCTACATAAAAATCTTCAACATGAGACTGGAAAAAAGGGTATGGGATCATCACCGGACCTTTGGCTTTTACAGCTCGAGCTATAAGAAAAAAAAGAAAAAGGGATATCATTTAAACACAGTATGTAGAAAAGAATAATTATTGAATCTGTACTGGTCTTTAACTTTTACACTTTGATCTTTAATTCTGTTATTGTGATTGAGTCCAAAGAAAAACAGTATGAGTAAAATAAAAAGAACACCAAAAATGCTAATATTCTGTTTACCGAAGTCTGTAGTGAAATATCCCATTAAATCCAAGTGCAGTGACACACCCATAATCCCAAGCACTTTGGGAGGCTGAGGCGGGTGAATCTCCTGAAGTCAGGAGTTCAAGGCCAGCCTGGCCAACATGGTGAAACCCCAACTCTACTACAAATACAAAAATTAGGCAGGCGTGGTGGCAGAGGCCTGTAATCCCAGCTACTTAGGAGGCTGAGGCAGGGAGAATTGCTTGAACACAGGAGGTGAGCTTGCCATGAGCTGAGATCATACCACTGCACTCCAGCGTGCGTGACAGAACAAAACTTCAACCTCCAAAAAAAAAAAAAAAAAAAAAAACAGCTAGCAGGTGACATTTGCTATAGGGAGACTAGGGATATGATCTTGCTGCAATCTTTCCATTTTAGTAAATCTAAACAAGTGTGAATCCATTCTGTTTCGTCCCCACTCCACTCCAGAGCCAAAACAAGAAAAACAATTATATTTCTAGTTCTTTAAAAACATATCTAACTAAATCATCTAATTAAAAGATAATATGCATGGTTCCATACTCTAAAAGAAAACTTATGTCCTGCATATCATGGACATTTGATGAATGCTTATTCAGTTGACTGGTGTAGACTTCAATAATAACCTGTTCAATGCATTATGCCAGATGAATCTTGCATCTCAAAAGTAGAACAAATATTGTTCTTTCAGTTTTGTCTACCCATAAATGCAATATTTACTAATAAAAAGAAAATGAGTTTATTGTTCTAGAGAGTATGAGAATTTTGACAACATGAATTCTCCTGTCCTAGGACATAATTAATACTTAGAGGCATACTATTTCATGTGGAAGCTACCATTAAATCAATGTTAAGTGTTAATTACCTCACATAATCTTCTAATCTGACTTGACTGAAGACGTACCTGACAAAGTTGATTTATCAAGTTGTAAATCTTCACCTGTTGAATTCATAAGTTCATGTCTGAAAGGTGAGAATAAATACTTAATATTCATTAGGCAATATTCAGCAAAGTAATATCCACTAGTACATATTTAATATTTCATCATGAACTGCGGGTGTGAAGAGAAAGGACAGGCTGGGCACAGTGGCTCACACCTGTAATCCCAGCAGTTTGGGAGGCCGAGGCAGGCAGATCATGAGGTCAGGAGTTCGAGACCAGCCTGGCCAACATGGTAAAACCCCGTCTGTACTAAAAGTACAATAATTAGCTGGGCATGGTGGCAGGCACCTGTAATCCCAGCTACTCGGGAGGCTGAGGCAGGAGAATTGCCTGAACCCAGGAGGTGGAGGTTGCAGAAACCATTATCACGCCACTGCATTCCAGCCTGGGCAAGAGAGCAAGATTCTGTCTCCATCAATCAATCAATAAAAATATAAGAAGGAAGCATTTACTGTGTATTTATATGTCTGGTATTATGTGAAGCACTTTACTATCTTATCAAATCTTCGGGACAGATCTTCAGTTCTCATGACCACAAAAGAGGATACTAAAGCTCAGACAGGAGAAGAGACGTGGCCAGCCTGTGTCCCCAGGGCCTATGGTCTTACCACTAGGTTACAGTGTTTCCAGATATCACATGTTGTGAGATTTTTGCTTTAAAATGAACCAAAAAAAAACCAAAGGTGAAAAAGGCATAAGCTATTAAAAAGTGGGAGAAACACTAAGAGAACCTTAAGCATGTAACTAAAAATATTATGGAAATGTTATTGAATACATTAGCAAATTTAGTGCTAGGTTTTCATTGAGGAGTAGGTTATATTACTCATGATGAAGAAAAATGTTCATTTTAAGTATATTAACATAAATACCATCAATATTGTTTATCATGTTTAAATGTTCACTTAAAGCAATTCAGTTAAAATTCTGCATATCATACAATTTTATAGTTTGCTAGTAGGTTACAAGTAAATAGTCACCCAAATAAAAACATCATGTTTTCCACTGGTTGTTGCTCTTTTTTAGGTGAGTATTTGATATATACCAACAGAGAGAGGATAATAACAAATCGCTAATTTCTTTCATCACTATATAAAGGTGGCTTCAGGATAGAATAGTATCAGTGTAATGATGAATTTGAAATCTAACATCAATTCAGTGATGCATCAAGATAAAAGTAGAGACAACAGGGGCACCTTGGTGAGTACTGAACATTTTATTTATTTATTTATTTTGAGATGGAGTTTTGCTCTTTTTGCCCAGGCTACAGTGCAATGGTGCCAACCTCGCCTCACTGCAACCTCTGCCTCCTGGGTTCAAGCGATTCTCCTGCCTTGGCCTCCCGAATAGCTGGGATTACAGACATGCGCCACCACACCCGTCTAATTTTGTATTTTTAGTAGAGACGGGGTTTCTCCATGTTGGTCAGGCTGGTCTCGAACTCCCGACCTAGATATCTGCCTGCCTTGGCCTCCCAAAGTGCTGGGATTACAGGTGTGAGCCACCACGCCCAGATGAATTCCAAATTTAACAAAGCAGACTAAGAGAAACAATTCATTTAAAAAAATAATATTTGGCCAGGCATGGTGGCTCACACCTATAATCCCAGCACTTTGGGAGGCTGAGGTGAGTGGATCAGGAGGTCAGCAGTTCAAGACCAGCCTAGCCAAGATCATGAAACCCCGTCTCTACTAAAAATACAAAAATCAGCCAGGCGTGGTGGCTGGTGCCTGTAATCCTAGCTGCTCGGGAGGCTGAGGCAGAGAACTGCTTGAACCCGGGAGGCGGAGGTTGCAGTGAGCCGAGATCGTGCCACTGCACTCCAGCCTGGGCGACAGAGTGAGGCTCCGTCTCAAAAAAAATAAATAAATAATTCAATGAAATTCCTAAGATCCAGGGCTTTGCAATAAATATGTAAATAAATTTCCAATCTCCATACTGAAAGTTTAAAAGAAATGCTAACTAATAACTAAAGAAATACAACTTTTCCTCAGCTTTGCAGCAATCTAGAAACAAAGTGTGTAGACACTACAAAGCACCTTACAAGGAGAAACATGTAAGGATGGCATGACTCGCCGGCAGCCCTGGGATTGTCCACGGTACCCCCATGATGAACAGTAACTCCACTGTGTAAACGCCCATGAACCTAAGATTACAAGACTTTTCCAGTTTAGACATACCATATTTTCTTTCAGACAATTCTTCAGTTTGTTTACGTAGATCAGCGATACGATGATTCCATTTCTCTGAAAACCAAGCAAAAGTTGCTTCTCAATAACACGTCCCTATGTCAGAGCAGCACTAACATATAATGACTGATTTCATATATTTTACATTCTAACAGTCCATATCATTTTACTGCTTTCAAGAAAAAATTTCCCCTTCTTGGTGGTTCTTAGAATTGGTTTAATGGGAGACTATTAGAGAAGCTGAAAAGCAGGAGGGCAGAAAAGCTCAATCAAATTAAACACAATAACAGGGAGGTCACAATGAGGCGGTCTCCAGGGGTCTTTTAGCAAACTTCCTAAAACATGTCTCAGCTGTGTGAAATAAGACTTTACAGCAGCCGGGTGCAGTGGTGCAGGCCTGTAATCCCAGCACTTTGGCAGCAGAGGCAGGCGGATCACTTTGAGCTCAGGGCAACATAGCCAAAACCCCCCTCCCTAGCCCCACCCCCACCCCGTCCCTACCAAAAATACAAAACAGCAGGGCATGGTGGCGGGCGCCTGTAGTCCCAGCTACTCAGGAGGCTGAGGCAGGAGAATCACCTGAACCCAGGAGGCAGACATTGCAGTGAGCCAAGATCACGCCACTGCCAGCCTGGATGACAGAGCAAGACTCCACCTCAAAAAAAACAAAAACAAAAACACAAGGTTAAGAGGGACCCCCGACCTTACAGATACAAGTTTAAGAGGGACCCCTAAGCAAAAAATGCCAACCCTTTTTCTCCCAATCATTGAAACACCAGGAGGGTGTAACAGTTTTGCAGCCTAGCTGTAGCAGGCTGATGCCCCCAAGATGCCCATATCCTAATCCCGGGAACTAGTGAACATGACCTTATATGGCAAAAGGAACTTTGCAGATATAATGAAGTTAAGGGTCTTTGGCTTTTGGGGTTGATGTACTCACTCGGATCCTTGTAAGAGCAGAGCAGGTGATGGAGAGGGTGGGAGGTGTAGTGACAGAAGCAGGAAACTCCAGTCATTCGAGACGGGCAGCACAAGCTGCGGAGTGCAGGCCACCTCTACGGCCAGGAAACGGATTCTCCCGCAGAGCCTCGGAAGCTACCGACCCTGCTCCCACCTTGACTCAGTAGGACTTACTGTAGAATTCTGGCCTTCAGACCTGTAAGGGAATACATTTTGGTTGTTTTAAGTCACTAAGTGTGTGGTAATTTGTTGCAGCAGCCACAGGAAACTAGTATTGTAGTGAAGCCTCAAAACCCCCCTGAAGGGGCTGGGCTCAGTGGCTCATGCCTGTAATCCCAGCACTTTGGGAGGCCGAGATGGGTGGATCACTTGAGGTCAGGAGTTCGAGACCAGCCCAGCCAACATGGTGAAATGCCATCTATACAAAAAATACAAAAACTAGCCGGGCATGGTGGCACATGCCTGTAATCTCAGCTACTCAGGAGGCTGAGACAGGAGAATTGTTTGAACCCAGGGGGGCAGAGGTTGCAGTGAACTGAGATTCCACCACTGCACTCCAGCCTGGGTGACAGAGCGACGCTCCATCTCGAAAACAAAACAAAACAAAAAAACCCCACCTGAAGGTTTCCAGTTCTGCCAGCACTCTCCCACCCAACCCCCAGAAACAGACATTCCATTGCTGTGGGCCACGGACAGGCAGAAGGAAGCACCTCCTCATGGCAGAGGCCTACCCAGGAGAAACCCAAGGGAAGGCACTACTGGGCTGGCCCCTCTCTGCCAAGGCCATATTCTTTTTTTTTTTTTGAGGCCAGTTTCACTCTGTCTCCCAGACTGGAGTGCAGGGGCACAATCTCGGCTCACTTCGACCTCTGCCTCCCCAGTTCAAGTGATTCTCCTGCCTCAGTCTCCTGAGTAGCTGGGATGACAGGAGTGTAGCATGCCTAGCTAATTTTTGTATTTCTAGTAGAGATGCGGTTTTGCCATGTTGCCCAGGCTGGACTCGAACTCCTTGCCTCAAGTAGTCCACCTGTCTCAGCCCCGCAAAGTGCTGCTATTATAGGAGTGAGCCACTGCACCCAGCATTTGCCAAGACCTTTGATGGCAGGCTTTTTCCAGGTGATCAGTCCTTGTCTGGTCTGGCTCTGCCCCACTCTCCTTCTCACCTAGTTGGAATCCCTAGCTACTTTTCAGTAGAGGAGAGTGTGTACCCCAATCCCAGCTTGGTTCAGATCTGCATTTAACTCATGGAACCTGGCTGCTCCCCAGGTTCTGAAGAAAAAAACGGTCTCTCTGTGGGTATGATAAAGGATGGGCCTGTCCCCAGGACCCTGTGAGAGGGAAGCCCAATGTCCCACCAGGTTGGCAGGGCTGGGGAAGGGAAAGTGTTATGGCAGCCCCAAGAAAAAAAAGAGGCAGCAGAGGGAGCAGGAGAGCGCTCACATGGAACTCATGCCACTGCCTGAGGGGAGGGAGGAGTGCACGCCAGTGACGTCAGGGGGCAGAGAGGCGCAGTTCCAGGGCGGCTTTCCCCCTCACTTCCTGCCATGTTACTCTGATCGCCTCCACGTGAGCCTGCCCACTTTGTGCCCAGGGGCCTGTAGAAAACCACAGCTCCCCATGGTTATGGCCCCAGGAGTGGGGCAGAGCAGGGAGGAGTCCTGCACAGAGGAGAGGCAGGGGCAGGAGGGAGTGGGCCTCAAACTCCAGGAGGGGGCCCTTCTCATGGGTCCTGCTTTCTGGCTTCTCCTTCCTTACCCCTGGGCTGATCACTTGGGGAAGAACTGAGACAAAGTTTCTCACCCTCAGGCCCAAAGGGTTTAATTACTGGGCCCTTAGGGAGGTGTGAGCCCCCTGAAAGGATGCAAGGTTTTGTTTTGTTTTGTTTTTTGAGACAGAGTTTCGCTCCTGTCGCCCAGGCTGGAGTGCAGTGGCGTGATCTCACCACACTACAACCTGCGCCTCCCAGGTTCAAGTGATTCTCCTGCCTCAGCCTCTGGAGTAGCTGGGATTACAGGTGGCTGCCACCACGCCTGGCTAATTTTTTGTATTTTTAGTAGAGACAGGGTTTCGCCATGTTGGGCAGGCTGGTCTTGAACTCCTGACCTCAGGTGATCCGACTGGCTCCGCCTCCCAAAGTTCTGGGATCACATCAGCCACTGTGCTTGGCCACGATGAAAGGTTTTGTGTGGAGAGCATGTACATGCCTTTCTGGGAAAACAGTCCACAGCTCTTATTCTCAGCAGGCTTCACGGTGAAAAAAGGTTAGAACTCTTGCTACAGAGCTGTGGAAGCAGCCAGGTGAGGGGCCTGCCAAGGGCACTCTGGGCACTACCTGGGCACTCTCGAGCCCATCATCCCCTAGGCAGGCTGCACTGCTTGGTATTTGCAGAGCTGAGGGGGTGGGGCATGTGGGGACTGTGAAATCGCCCTGAGATGACCCACAGTCCTCAGCTAGGAAGTAAGCGCTGCATCTCCTGCAGCGTCCTCCATCCCTAGAGCCATGGGGCCAGGAGAACCGGCCCTTGCAGCAAGTGAAAAGCCTATTATTGATTCCCTCCCTAGCCATGTAGACAGTGAACCAAGACACTCATATCAGGTAAATGCCTTGTTCTCTGTTACCAAGGTAACCAGTAGGCATTCCCAGATACAGCGAAGGTCCTCACACCAAGATATGCACCTGGCCACCTGAGGAAAGAGAAAGGACTATCTGAGGGGACGGGGCTGAGCTGGGTGTGGAGTGGTCCTTGTGGGTCTTGGAGAGTGGGAGGGGGAACAGCATGAGCCAGGCCTCGAGGCAGAAGGACAACCAGGAGACAGCCTGGAAAAAGTGCTGGACCCACAAGGGCTCAAGGCTGGCCAGAGGGGAGGTGGGATAGGCTGTAAAGTCCTGAGGTCTGAAGATTGGCCCTGGCAGGAAGAAACCAGGTAAGGTGGGGTGTTACCTACACCCTCGGGGCCAGATGCAGGCCAGAGCCAGCCAATTACCAGGCCCTTAGGGAGGTGTGAGCCCCTTGAAATGATGCAAGGTTTTTTGTTTTTGTTTTGGAGACGGAGTTTCGCTCTTGTCACACAGGCTGGCACCTTTGCCCAGAGCAGGCACCAAGACTTCTGGCTCTGGGTGTGACCTCAGTCTGGGTAAAAGCCCCAGCCCCCACCAGCACCACCTACCCCCTAGACTACTTCAGGTGCTGAGCCCAAGCCAGGGGCAGGAAGCTAAACTGATGCCTAGGGTAATCCCAACAAAGTCCCTGGTTCCCCGCAGCTATGGGGCTGACGGGGAATTACAGCCCAAACCCCAGATGCTGGCTCTCAAACTAACACTGAGCCCTCAGTGCCCACAGGGAGATACAATCAGCGCACTTTCCAGATGGGGAAATGGGATCAGAGAAGTGCAACAGCCTTGCCCAATGCCCCAGACCAGGGCTCCAGGCCCAGAGTGTTCTTTTGTCACTGTGTTCAGAGGGCAGCAGCTGCTGTGATGTACCCACCTGAGCCTGGCAGCTCTCTCCAACTTTGGAAGCCCAGGGGCATGGCCCCTGTCCACAGATGCACCTGGCATGAGGCGTGCCCAGAGGGACAGAGGCAGATGAGTTTCGTCTCCTCCACTGGATTGTGAGGGCCTAGAAGGAGACAAGGGTCTGCTTGAGAAGGCAGTGAACAGCGAGCAGCCTGAGGCAGTGCCCCTCTGGATGGATGCGCAGTGCCTGGATGGAACCTGGCTCAGACAGAGCTCAGTTCTGCAGGTCCCTGAGGCATGGAGAGTTCACAGCTACCAAGTGTAGGAGTCTGGATTCAAAGCCAACGGCGTGACTCCAAAGTCCCTGCCCTAGCCCCTGGACCACCCTTGCAGGCCCATCAGATGCCCAGGCCAGCAGCACAGCCGGCCAAGACCAGGGAAACTTGGGGAGCCTCAGAGCACCCCCAGGTATTCCAACCTAACCCTGGTGCCCCGCCTCTCACCACCCTTCTTCCTGCTTTAACCTCAACCCCTACACAAAGCCTGGGCCACTTAATGTGGCATCAAACAGACGCCTCAATAAATCAGTCTAATCTCGAAAATAAAAAAGACTTAACAGATATACAATTGCACGTTAGAATGCTAAAAACCATAAACATATAACAACTTAAAGTACATATAAATTCAATATATATCCAATCATTGTAACTATGACACAGTAGAATATTAAAATACTATTTTCAAAATGTATACAAGCTTAATGTTCTATGTATTCAAACTATTTATTCAAAATACAAATCATCAACATACATTGCCACTAATATTCAGTCCCTTCACAGGACATGATTCACTGGGAGTTAATAAATTAGCAGCCAGCAGGCAGTGACACACCGCAAAAATGAAAACCAAGAGGTGAAATAGTTCTGAAATAAAGGTTTTAAAGCTAACAGAAATCACTGAATTACTAAGTCATTAGCACTAATTTTGAGCCAACTAACTAATTAATATGAGATGATACAATGTCCTATACTTTGGTAAATACAGACTATGTTTAAACAATGTCTGTAACGTGACTTGTAAAATGCTCCTGGCTTTACAAAGATGTGATTAAGATGTAGTAACACATGCTAAACCATTTCCCCCTGCAGAGCATGTGGTAACTTTCATCAGTCACACTGAGAGTACAGAAGATAAAGGAAAAGGTCATGGATTTCGCTGAGAACTTACCAGAGTTGAACTCCCTCATTTTCCGTTCCCCAGCATTGGCAGGTTCTGGGACTGGTGGCTGTGGTGGCTCGTTGGTCTTTGTCTCTTAGAAGGTGGGGAATAATCATCATCTTGAAAAAGAAAAAATGGTCATTACTGAAGGAACCATCTTAGGTTACAGCCACCTCTGGGTCAATTCCCAACATTCAAAAGCTGAGCAGGGCTTTAAAGCTATCTTATTAATAATTATTTCTGTATTGCGAACTTCAGCATACTTTTTTCTAGTTACATTTGAAATGTTATTCTTTTGGGATGTGCTCAAGTGAGTACTGCTTTTTCCTCTGCCTTGCTTCATTACTTTTTAGTTTCCTTCATTTGAATCATCATTGTAAGTCTCCCCTTCTCCTCAAATAACTTTCAAATTGCTGCCAAGAACTACGTTCTATCTTAAGGCTTTTGAGAAAAAACTTTCAATGAAGATAGCCGCCTAAAGTTATACAAATATAGAAGAAACGGGATAAAATAAAGCTTAGATTGGAAAAAATATTTAAGATTCTACAAAATTCACGCGTAAACAAGGGAAGCTGAGTAATTGTATGTTCAAATACTTTTAACAAGTGCAAAACATGTAGGCTTAAAGAAATAGAGCTGGCCAGGCATGGTGGTTCATGCCTGTAATTCCAACAGTTTGGGAGGCCAAGGCAGGCAGATAACTTGAGGTCAGGAATTCGAGACCAGCCTGGCCAACAGAGTGAAACCCTCTCTCTACTAAAAATACAAAAATTAGGCCAGGAGTGATGGCTCACGCCTGTGATCCCAGCACTTTGAGAGGCCGAGGCGGGTAGATCACCTGAGGTCAGGAGTTTGAGACCAGCCTAACCAACATAGGGAAACCCCGTCTCTACTAAAACTACAACATTAGCCGGGTGTGGTGGCACATGCCTGTAATCCCAGCTACTCGGGAGGCTGAGGCAGGAGAATCCCTTGAACCCAAAAGGCAAAGATTGTGGTGAGCCGAGATTGTGCCATTGCACTCCAGCCTGGGCAAAAACAGCGAAACTCCGTCTCAAAAAAAAAAAAAAGAAAAAATTAGCCAGGCATGGTGAAGTTGCAGTGAGCTGAGACTGCACCATTGCACTCCAGCCTGGGTAGCAGAGCAAGACCCTGTCTCAAAAAAAAAAAAAAAAAAAAAAAAAAAAAAAGAGAGAGAGAGAAAGAAAGAAAGAGGGCTACATTATTTATGAAACAGATACTGTTAACTCAGTCACCAGAAAGCCTGTGTATAAATGAGCAGTGAGATATTCAAGCACAGCACACACACACTTCTCAGGACAGCTGTCGTGAGTGTTCCATGCTCGTTTCCTTCTGGATACATCAGCAACTCACTCTGCTATGATCCTGCAATACATCTCATGTTAGAATTAGAGACATCTGGGCCAGGCACAGTGGCTGACGCCTGTAATCCTAACACTTTGGGAAGCCGAGGCAGGCAGATCACCTAAGGTCAGGAGTTCGAGACCAGCCTGGCCAACATGGTGAAATGCTGTCTCTACCAAAAATACAAAAAATTAGCTGGGCATGGTGGCGCGCGCCTGTAATCCCAGCTACTCGGGAGCCTGAGGCAGGAGAATCGCTTGAACCCGGGAGGTGGAGGTTGCAGTGAGCCGAGATCGTGCCACTGCACTCCAGCATGGGGGACGGAGCAAGGCTCTGTCAAAAAAAAAAAACAGAAAAAGAAAAAGAAAAAAGAATTAGAGACATCTGGATCAAATCAGCTGCCAGTCTCGCAAAGTGTCGGGTAACATCCTATTAAGCTTGCTGCTTACACATCATCTATAAAATACTGAAAATATCATTTTAAGAAATCTTTTTTTTATTTTGAGACAGAGTTTTGCTCGTTGCCCAGGCTGGAGTGCAATGGTGCGATCTCAGCTCACTGCAATCTCTGCCCCCTGGGTTCAAGCAATTCTCCTTCCTCAGCCTCCTGAGTAGCTGGGATTACAGGCATGCACCACCACGCCTGGCTAATTTTGTATTTTCAGTTGAGACAGGGTTTCTCCATATTGGTCAGGCTGGTCTCGAACTCCTGACCTCAGGTGATCCACTGACCTTGGCCTCCCAAAGTGCTGGGATTACAGGTGTGAGCCACCATGCCTAGCCAAGAAACCCTTATTTTAAAACAAGCCAGGCGCGGTGGCTCATGCCTATAATCCCAGCACTTTGGGAAGCCAAGGCAGGTGGATCACTTGACGTCAGTAGTTTGAGACCAGCCCGGGCAACATGTTGTAACCCCATCTCTACTAAAAATATATTTTAAAAATTAGCTGGGCATGGTGGTGGGCACCTGTAATCCCAGCTTCTCAGGAGGCTGAGGCAGGAGAACCACTTGAACCTGGGAGGTGGAGGTTGCAGTGAGCGGAGATCACGCCACTGCACTCTAGCCTGGGTGACAATAGAAAGACTCCATCTCAAAAACAAAACAAAACAAAACAAAACAAAAAACCACTAAAAAAAAGACTCCATTTCAAAAACAAAACTAAAACCAAAAACACAACACAAATGTAGTACACAAATGAAGATAATTACTGTGTTAAACACAGTTTCATAGAAAATAAAAGACCAATCAAATACAATAAGCTGACTTTTTAGATGGGTATGTTATTCTTCTTTCACAGCTAAAGAAACAGGCTCAGAGAATGTTATTTGATTGGACCGTGTTGCATTTCTGGACAGTGCAGCTGAGATCAGACTTTGTGTGTAACTCCACTAGCCTACCAGGGTGCCTCTCATAAAGGTAAGAAATGTAAATTTGGCCTAATATACAAAGTTGCCAGGGCAGCACTGGGTCAATTCTACATACAGTACTTCTATGTTCATCAAGGGAAACCTTAAGGGAAAGTGAAAATGCTTCTAGAAGGCGACTGGACACCAGCGCCTTTGCTTGTTGCCTTTGGGCTCTTCTTCTAAGGCCAACAGTGACCTGAAATTATTGACTGGCTTTTCCAATCAAGTGGACAAAATGGTACCAAGGTCACCAACATCGATGTAGAACATCGATGTTCTACAACATTGCTTAACGCAAGGGGAGACGCTCCTGACTCAGAGTGTTTAATTGCTCACCTACTTCTTTTTCTGCCCTCTTGGGCTTCTGAAATGAAAAGAACCCTGGGGTGATACAGTGAGTCAAAGGGGTGCCAGCCGCATCACAGCAAAATAGATTCCTAAAAAATCCCTGGCCTAAGATGACAGCCTTGGCTGGATCAGTTTGAATGTGCTGATAGTGGACATGGTAGAATGAAGGTGGTTGAAATGTTCATATTAAAGAACTTCCACCCAGATTGCAAGAAAAGAGAGAAGAATGGAGACGGCAGCACGAGCCCCTACAATAAAAGCAGATGTTTTGAGATCAGTTATATTTCTTCTGACAAAAATTAAAGACAGAAACCAAAGTTTAGCCTGAGACTACAATTAATTGGGCAATAAGCCAGAGGCACATATGGCATAAGACAGATTTAAACATTTCTCCCTGATATTAATACAAACACTAAAATTACAAATACTTTGATTCCAAATAAAACAAATATTTAAAAAATTTAATGAATAAACACTGGGGTCTACAGTAGTATTTGAAGATCTCACAAACAGGTTTGGTTTTTGAAGGTTAGAACTGGTGGTCTAGAGAATTCATTTCATTCCAGAGAAAGAAAGAGAGGAATTTCTTGGGTTCCTTCAGGAATGCGTCTAGCTTTGCCTCATCTTTGTTTGAACTATGGATACGGCAGAAGAAAACATGAGGATTTCACAGATTTAAGGTGCAAAAAGTCACTGGGTTCTCTAAGAAGTCTGGGATTCTTCTGCTGGAAAAATAAGTTTGTTGAGAAAAAATGAGTTGGAGGAGGCTGTTATTGAAGTGAAGCAGAATTGTTTTTACTAGTCTGCTTATTACCCACTCTGTAGTGTGGAAACAAATTATTCATGCACAAGGTCCTCTTACTGTTCCTAGAATGCAGTGGAAAGAGAACAGATTAGTTTTCCTCCCTCAGAACACAACCCCTAGAAACATCCTACCTCAGATGAGATATTGCCTAATTATTTTCAAAAGACAGTGAAACATCATGGATGTAAATGTTTGCTACAAAATAAATACATGCTAGAAACAGAAGCATCTGGGTCACAGCTATATTAGAGCTACCTGTGTTCCCCTGTCACTGACATTAAAACAAAAATGTCCAATACAATCATTCACAGCGTGGGAGAGGGGAAGTTGAAGGATGGAAAGGCCAGGCATAAAAGGATTTCAGAATTTCCGTCCATAAGGAAGTGGCTTTGTGCACTGTCTGTTACTGCGTGCAAGGTGAAATTTGAAGAATGAAAACGTGCAGTAACAAGGGCTCCTTCGTCCAACTCACCTCTCCAGATACCAACTTTCAGACATGTTGCATTTTAATTGAAAGGTTGATATAATTTTTTTTAAAGAACACTTGCGGTGTTTGAAGTGACAAAGGCTGCTGTGACAAAAAAGCAGGGAAAGGGAATTTTTTTTTAAAAGCAAACAACAACAACAGAAACCCCACAGAAAAGCAAACAACAAACAAACAAAAAACAGAGGAAGTAGTCGAACACCCTGGGCTGTGACTACTTCCAGGAAGGGGCTACAAGAGGCAGTTGGAAATTCTATTTGTTTTGCAACTGTGGGTTTTCCGGCCTGCTTCCTTTCTAAAGCATATTACTCTGCTTTTGGTTCATGAAGTTATCCATTTCTGTTTTCTGGAACAGCTATGTATTTTCTTTATCTATCATCTATCTATCTATTTACCATCTATCTTTTCTACCTTTCGCTATCAAGAGCTTGGGTCAAGCAGGATAGAATTCCAGTGTATGTTCACTCTACCATTTAAAACAAGAGCTCTTGTAGGCATTCTCCATCACATCATAAACCTGAGCTTTCTAAAACAGGGTGTGGCAAACTACCATGCATGGACCATGTCTGACACAGTCTGCATTTGTAAGTAAAGTTGTAATGGGACACAGCCAATACATGTGTTACATAATGTCTCTGGCTACTTTCATGGTATAATGGAAGAGCTGAGTCATTGAGAGAGAGACCATATGGCTTGGAAAACTTAAAATATTTAACATTTAGCCCCCTGCAGAAAATACTTGCTGACTCTTGTTTTAAAAGATCTCTGTTTAGAATGCTACCTATTGCGTTCTGGATAGAATCACAACTCTTTACCACAATCGACACAGCTTCAGCCCTGCTTCTATATCCAGCCTCATCTATTTCTGCTCCTCCTCCTTATTTTCCTTCTGGCCATGCTGATGGATTGTCAGCTTCCCAGATGTGCAAGAATCTCTCCTCCCTTCCCAACATTCTCATGCTCTCCCTCTGCCTCTGAAGAACTTCCTGCCCCATCTCTCATGACAAATCCTTTCTACATTCTTTAAGATGCAGCCCCTTTGCTCCTTCCTTAAGGATGTCTGTCTGGCTCTATTTTGGGTGACGTGCTCCTTCTGCATCTCCCAGAGCCAGCCTGTGTGTGTCAGCTACAACATTTCTTTGCATCTCTGTGTCATATATCACCAAATCTGCCTAAGCTTGCATGAGTCACTGCATGACAACTTCAGACTCCACCAGCATTGTCCCCACTAACCACAAGGCTTAGACATTCGTCCAGTATGCTCGGGGTTGTGGGGTGGTAGCAGTAACCGGCTGGTGACCATCATTTCTTACATCAGAATCAAATCTGTAGATCTCTGCCATTCATAAGTATTTGGAGTTTAAAATTAGCATAAAGATTTTCCTTAAAATAAGAACAAATGGCTTGAGTAGGCTTTTGGAACACAGGATGTTTCCACTGGTTCATTTCTGTGTTCAATATTCCCACATGAATCTAAACACGGCTCTGCTCTTAGTAGCTATGTGACCCTAGGAAAGTCACTCAATCTCCCTCAGCTAAATTTTGTTGTGTGAGTAATGAGGAGAGAGTTGTGATTTGTATTTAGTGAAAAATAACAAACAAAAGGCATTTAGATTTCTGGAACCTGGTATGTAGTAGAACCTCATGAAATACTAGCTCTGTTGAAAAAACTAGACTGAAAGAAGCTTACAAAGTCAACAAGAGTTTGAGGCAGTGAAGGACTTAGAGGAGGAGCTGCTGCTGCAGCCTGTAGCTCCTGGAAGCCCGTTTTGTCCATGATTTAGCAGGAATGCATTACCCTTCCATGAGGAGGCACTGCCCACAGAAACCAAGGCCATTCTTTGAAGACAAACATGTCTTAATAGCCTTTACATTATGTAATAGTGTAATACAAATAATAATTTATTATTAGTAATAATGTGAAATTATTTACAGTACCCTAACCCTAACCCTAACCCCTAATCCTAACCCTAATCCTAACCCTAACCCTAACCCTAACCCCTAACCCCTAACCCTAACCCTAAAACCCTAACCATAACCCTTACCCTTACCCTAATCCTAACCCTAATCCTTACCCTTACCCTTACCCTGACCCTAACCCTAATCCTTACCCTTATCCTACCCCTAACCCTTAACCCCTAACCGCTAGCCCTAACCCTTAACCCTAACCATAACCCTAAAACGCTAACCCTCATCCTCACCCTCACACCTCACCCTCACCCAAACCATAATCCCTAACCCCTAACTCTTAACCCCTAACCCTAACCCTTGACCCTAACCCTTGACCCTAACCCCTGACCCTGACCCTTAACCCTAACCCCTAACCCTTAACCCTTAAACCTTAACCCTCATCCTCACCCTCACCCTCACCCCTAACCCTAACCCCTAACCCCTAACCCAAACCCTAACCCTAAACCCTAACCCTAAACCCAACCCAAACCCTAACCTGAACCCTAACCCGAACCATAAACCTGAACCCTAAATCCGAACCTGAACCCGAACCCTAACCATAACCCAAACCCGAACCCAAACCCTAACCCCTAACCCCTAACCCTAACCCTACCCTAACCCAACCCTAACCCAACCCTAACTCTAGCCCTAACCCTAACCCTAACCCTAACCCTAACCCTAACCCTAACCCTAACCCTAACACCCTAACCCTAACCCTAACCCTAACCCTAACCCTAACCCTAACAACCCTAACCCTAACCCTAACAACCCTAACCCTAACCCTAACCCTAACCCTAACCCTAACCCTAAACCCTAAACCCTAACCCTAACCCTAACCCTAACCCTAACCCCTAACCCCTAACCCTAACCCTAACCCTAACCCTAACCCTAACCCTCGCGGTACCCTCAGCCGGCCCGCCCGCCCGGGTCTGACCTGAGGAGAACTGTGCTCCGCCTTCAGAGTACCACCGAAATCTGTGCAGAGGACAACGCAGCTCCGCCCTCGCGGTACTCTCCGGGTCTGTGCTGAGGAGAACGCAACTCCGCCGGCGCAGGCGCAGAGAGGCGCGCCGCGCCGGCGCAGGCGCAGAGAGGCGCGCCGCGCCGGCGCAGGCGCAGAGAGGCGCGCCTCGCCGGCGCAGGCGCAGAGAGGCGCGCCGGGCCGGCGCAGGCGCAGAGAGGCGCGCCGCGCCGGCGCAGGCGCAGAGAGGCGCGCCGCGCCGGCGCAGGCGCAGAGACACATGCTAGCGCGTCCAGGGGAGGAGGCGTGGCACAGGCGCAGAGACACATGCTAGCGCGCCCAGGGGAGGAGGCGTGGCGCAGGCGCAGAGAGGCGCGCCGTGCTGCCGCAGGCGCAGAGACACATGCTAGCGCGTCCAGGGGGTGGAGGCGTGGCGCAGGCGCAGAGACGCACGCCTACGGGCGGGGTTGGGGGGGGCGTGTGTTACAGGAGCAAAGTCGCACGGCGCCGGGCTGGGGGCGGGGGGGGGGGGGGGGGCGCCGTGCACGCGCAGAAACTCACGTCACGGCGGCGCGGCGCAGAGACGGGTGGAACCTCAGTAATCCGAAACGCCGGGATCGACAGCCCCTTGCTTGCAGCCGGGCACTACAGGACCCGCTTGCTCACGGTGCTGTGCCAGGGCGCCCCCTGCTGGCGACTAGGGCAACTGCAGGGCTCTCTTGCTTAGAGTGGTGGCCAGCGCCCCCTGCTGGCGCCGGGGCACTGCAGGGCCCTCTTGCTTACTGTATAGTGGTGGCACGCCGCCTGCTGGCAGCTAGGGACATTGCAGGGTCCTCTTGCTCAAGGTGTAGTGGCAGCACGCCCGCCTGCTGGCAGCTGGGGACACTGCCGGGCCCTCTTGCTCCAACAGTAGTGGCGGATTATAGGGAAACACCCGGAGCATATGCTGTTTGGTCTCAGTAGGCTCCTAAATATGGGATTCCTGGGTTTAAAAGTATAAAATAAATATGTTTAATTTGTTAACTGATTACTATCAGAATTGTACTGTTCTGTATCCCACCAGCAATGTCTAGGAATGCCTGTTTCTCCACAAAGTGTTTACTTTTGGATTTTTGCCAGTCTAACAGGTGAAGCCCTGGAGATTCTTATTAGTGATTTGGGCTGGGGCCTGGCCATGTGTATTTTTTTAAATTTCCACTGATGATTTTGCTGCATGGCCGGTGTTGAGAATGACTGCGCAAATTTGCCGGATTTCCTTTGCTGTTCCTGCATGTAGTTTAAACGAGATTGCCAGCACCGGGTATCATTCACCATTTTTCTTTTCGTTAACTTGCCGTCAGCCTTTTCTTTGACCTCTTCTTTCTGTTCATGTGTATTTGCTGTCTCTTAGCCCAGACTTCCCGTGTCCTTTCCACCGGGCCTTTGAGAGGTCACAGGGTCTTGATGCTGTGGTCTTCATCTGCAGGTGTCTGACTTCCAGCAACTGCTGGCCTGTGCCAGGGTGCAAGCTGAGCACTGGAGTGGAGTTTTCCTGTGGAGAGGAGCCATGCCTAGAGTGGGATGGGCCATTGTTCATCTTCTGGCCCCTGTTGTCTGCATGTAACTTAATACCACAACCAGGCATAGGGGAAAGATTGGAGGAAAGATGAGTGACAGCATCAACTTCTCTCACAACCTAGGCCAGTAAGTAGTGCTTGTGCTCATCTCCTTGGCTGTGATACATGGCCAGCCCTCGCTCCAGCAGCTGGACCCCTACCTGCCGTCTGCTGCCATCGGAGCCCAAAGCCGGGCTGTGACTGCTCAGACCAGCCGGCTGGAGGGAGGGGCTCAGCAGGTCTACCTTTGGCCCTGGGAGAGCAGGTGGAAGATCAGGCAGGCCATCGCTGCCACAGAACCCAGTGGATTGGCCTAGGTGGGATCTCTGAGCTCAACAAGCCCTCTCTGGGTGGTAGGTGCAGAGACGGGAGGGGCAGAGCCGCAGGCACAGCCAAGAGGGCTGAAGAAATGGTAGAACGGAGCAGCTGGTGATGTGTGGGCCCACCGGCCCCAGGCTCCTGTCTCCCCCCAGGTGTGTGGTGATGCCAGGCATGCCCTTCCCCAGCATCAGGTCTCCAGAGCTGCAGAAGACGACGGCCGACTTGGATCACACTCTTGTGAGTGTCCCCAGTGTTGCAGAGGTGAGAGGAGAGTAGACAGTGAGTGGGAGTGGCGTCGCCCCTAGGGCTCTACGGGGCCGGCATCTCCTGTCTCCTGGAGAGGCTTCGATGCCCCTCCACACCCTCTTGATCTTCCCTGTGATGTCATCTGGAGCCCTGCTGCTTGCGGTGGCCTATAAAGCCTCCTAGTCTGGCTCCAAGGCCTGGCAGAGTCTTTCCCAGGGAAAGCTACAAGCAGCAAACAGTCTGCATGGGTCATCCCCTTCACTCCCAGCTCAGAGCCCAGGCCAGGGGCCCCCAAGAAAGGCTCTGGTGGAGAACCTGTGCATGAAGGCTGTCAACCAGTCCATAGGCAAGCCTGGCTGCCTCCAGCTGGGTCGACAGACAGGGGCTGGAGAAGGGGAGAAGAGGAAAGGGGGGTTGCCTGCCCTGTCTCCTACCTGAGGCTGAGGAAGGAGAAGGGGATGCACTGTTGGGGAGGCAGCTGTAACTCAAAGCCTTAGCCTCTGTTCCCACGAAGGCAGGGCCATCAGGCACCAAAGGGATTCTGCCAGCATAGTGCTCCTGGACCAGTGATACACCCGGCACCCTGTCCTGGACATGCTGTTGGCCTGGATCTGAGCCCTCGTGGAGGTCAAAGCCACCTTTGGTTCTGCCATTGCTGCTGTGTGGAAGTTCACTCCTGCCTTTTCCTTTCCCTAGAGCCTCCACCACCCCGAGATCACATTTCTCACTGCCTTTTGTCTGCCCAGTTTCACCAGAAGTAGGCCTCTTCCTGACAGGCAGCTGCACCACTGCCTGGCGCTGTGCCCTTCCTTTGCTCTGCCCGCTGGAGACGGTGTTTGTCATGGGCCTGGTCTGCAGGGATCCTGCTACAAAGGTGAAACCCAGGAGAGTGTGGAGTCCAGAGTGTTGCCAGGACCCAGGCACAGGCATTAGTGCCCGTTGGAGAAAACGGGAATCCCGAAGAAATGGTGGGTCCTGGCCATCCGTGAGATCTTCCCAGGGCAGCTCCCCTCTGTGGAATCCAATCTGTCTTCCATCCTGCGTGGCCGAGGGCCAGGCTTCTCACTGGGCCTCTGCAGGAGGCTGCCATTTGTCCTGCCCACCTTCTTAGAAGCGAGACGGAGCAGACCCATCTGCTACTGCCCTTTCTATAATAACTAAAGTTAGCTGCCCTGGACTATTCACCCCCTAGTCTCAATTTAAGAAGATCCCCATGGCCACAGGGCCCCTGCCTGGGGGCTTGTCACCTCCCCACCTTCTTCCTGAGTCACTCCTGCAGCCTTGCTCCCTAACCTGCCCCACAGCCTTGCCTGGATTTCTATCTCCCTGGCTTGGTGCCAGTTCCTCCAAGTCGATGGCACCTCCCTCCCTCTCAACCACTTGAGCAAACTCCAAGACATCTTCTACCCCAACACCAGCAATTGTGCCAAGGGCCATTAGGCTCTCAGCATGACTATTTTTAGAGACCCCGTGTCTGTCACTGAAACCTTTTTTGTGGGAGACTATTCCTCCCATCTGCAACAGCTGCCCCTGCTGACTGCCCTTCTCTCCTCCCTCTCATCCCAGAGAAACAGGTCAGCTGGGAGCTTCTGCCCCCACTGCCTAGGGACCAACAGGGGCAGGAGGCAGTCACTGACCCCGAGACGTTTGCATCCTGCACAGCTAGAGATCCTTTATTAAAAGCACACTGTTGGTTTCTGCTCAGTTCTTTATTGATTGGTGTGCCGTTTTCTCTGGAAGCCTCTTAAGAGAAGAACACAGTGGCGCAGGCTGGGTGGAGCCGTCCCCCCATGGAGCACAGGCAGACAAAAGTCCCCGCCCCAGCTGTGTGGCCTCAAGCCAGCCTTCCGCTCCTTGAAGCTGGTCTCCACACAGTGCTGGTTCCGTCACCCCCTCCCAAGGAAGTAGGTCTGAGCAGCTTGTCCTGGCTGTGTCCATGTCAGAGCAACGGCCCAAGTCTGGGTCTGGGGGGGAAGGTGTCATGGAGCCCCCTAGGATTCCCAGTCGTCCTCGTCCTCCTCTGCCTGTGGCTGCTGCGGTGGCGGCAGAGGAGGGATGGAGTCTGACACGCGGGCAAAGGCTCCTCCGGGCCCCTCACCAGCCCCAGGTCCTTTCCCAGAGATGCCTGGAGGGAAAAGGCTGAGTGAGGGTGGTTGGTGGGAAACCCTGGTTCCCCCAGCCCCCGGAGACTTAAATACAGGAAGAAAAAGGCAGGACAGAATTACAAGGTGCTGGCCCAGGGCGGGCAGCGGCCCTGCCTCCTACCCTTGCGCCTCATGACCAGCTTGTTGAAGAGATCCGACATCAAGTGCCCACCTTGGCTCGTGGCTCTCACTGCAACGGGAAAGCCACAGACTGGGGTGAAGAGTTCAGTCACATGCGACCGGTGACTCCCTGTCCCCACCCCCATGACACTCCCCAGCCCTCCAAGGCCACTGTGTTTCCCAGTTAGCTCAGAGCCTCAGTCGATCCCTGACCCAGCACCAGGCACTGATGAGACAGCGGCGGTTTGAGGAGCCACCTCCCAGCCACCTCGGGGCCAGGGCCAGGGTGTGCAGCACCACTGTACGATGGGGAAACTGGCCCAGAGAGGTGAGGCAGCTTGCCTGGGGTCACAGAGCAAGGCAAAAGCAGCGCTGGGTACAAGCTCAAAACCATAGTGCCCAGGGCACTGCCGCTGCAGGCGCAGGCATCGCATCACACCAGTGTCTGCGTTCACAGCAGGCATCATCAGTAGCCTCCAGAGGCCTCAGGTCCAGTCTCTAAAAATATCTCAGGAGGCTGCAGTGGCTGACCATTGCCTTGGACCGCTCTTGGCAGTCGAAGAAGATTCTCCTGTCAGTTTGAGCTGGGTGAGCTTAGAGAGGAAAGCTCCACTATGGCTCCCAAACCAGGAAGGAGCCATAGCCCAGGCAGGAGGGCTGAGGACCTCTGGTGGCGGCCCAGGGCTTCCAGCATGTGCCCTAGGGGAAGCAGGGGCCAGTTGGCAAGAGCAGGGGGTGGGCAGAAAGCACCCGGTGGACTCAGGGCTGGAGGGGAGGAGGCGATCTTGCCCAAGGCCCTCCGACTGCAAGCTCCAGGGCCCGCTCACCTTGCTCCTGCTCCTTCTGCTTCTTCTTCTCCAGCTTTCGCTCCTTCATGCTGCGCAGCTTGGCCTTGCCGATGCCCCCAGCTTGGCGGATGGACTCTAGCAGAGTGGCCCGGCCACCGGAGGGGTCGACCACTTCCCTGGGAGCTCCCTGGACTGGAGCCAGGAGGTGGGGAACAGGGCAAGGAGGAAAGGCTGCTCAGGCAGGGCTGGGGAAGCTTACTGTGTCCAAGAGCCTGCTGGGAGGGAAGTCACCTCCCCTCAAACGAGGAGCCCCGCGCTGGGGAGGCCGGACCTTTGGAGACTGTGTGGGGGGGCCTGGGCACTGACTTCTGCAACCACCTGAGCGCGGGCATCCTGTGTGCAGATACTCCCTGCTTCCTCTCTAGCCCCCACCCTGCAGAGCTGGACCCCAGAGCTAGCCATGCTCTGACAGTCTCAGTTGCACACATGAGCCAGCAGAGGGGTTTTGTGCCACTTCTGGATGCTAGGGTTACACTGGGAGATACAGCAGTGAAGCTAAAATGAAAAATGTGTTGCTGTAGTTTGTTATTAGACCCCTTCTTTCCATTGGTTTAATTAGGAACGGGGAACCCAGAGCCTCACTTGTTCAGGCTCCCTCTGCCCTAGAAGTGAGAAGTCCAGAGCTCTACAGTTTGAAAACCACTATTTTATGAACCAAGTAGAACAAGATATTTGAAATGGGAACTATTCAAAAAATTGAGAATTTCTGACCACTTAATAAACCCACAGAAAATCCACCCGAGTGCACTGAGCACACCAGAAATCAGGTGGCCTCAAAGAGCTGCTCCCACCTGAAGGAGACGCGCTGCTGCTGCTGTCGTCCTGCCTGGCGCCTTGGCCTACAGGGGCCGCGGTTGAGGGTGGGAGTGGGGGTGCACTGGCCAGCACCTCAGGAGCTGGGGGTGGTGGTGGGGGCGGTGGGGGTGGTGTTAGTACCCCATCTTGTAGGTCTGAAACACAAAGTATGGGGTGTCTAGGGAAGAAGGTGTGTGACCAGGGAGGTCCCCGGCCCAGCTCCCATCCCAGAACCCAGCTCACCTACCTTGAGAGGCTCGGCTACCTCAGTGTGGAAGGTGGGCAGTTCTGGAATGGTGCCAGGGGCAGAGGGGGCAATGCCGGGGCCCAGGTCGGCAATGTACATGAGGTCGTTGGCAATGCCGGACAGGTCAGGCAGGTAGGATGGAACATCAATCTCAGGCACCTGGCCCAGGTCTGGCACATAGAAGTAGTTCTCTGGGACCTGCAAGATTAGGCAGGGACATGTGAGAGGTGACAGGGACCTGCAGGGGCAGCCAACAAGACCTTGTGTGCACCTCCCATGGGTGGAATAAGGGGCCCAACAGCCTTGACTGGAGAGGAGCTCTGGCAAGGCCCTGGGCCACTGCACCTGTCTCCACCTCTGTCCCACCCCTCCCACCTGCTGTTCCAGCTGCTCTCTCTTGCTGATGGACAAGGGGGCATCAAACAGCTTCTCCTCTGTCTCTGCCCCCAGCATCACATGGGTCTTTGTTACAGCACCAGCCAGGGGGTCCAGGAAGACATACTTCTTCTACCTACAGAGGCGACATGGGGGTCAGGCAAGCTGACACCCGCTGTCCTGAGCCCATGTTCCTCTCCCACATCATCAGGGGCACAGCGTGCACTGTGGGGTCCCAGGCCTCCCGAGCCGAGCCACCCCAGTCACCCCCTGGCTCCTGGCCTATGTGCTGTACCTGTGTCTGATGACCTGGGTCCCCACTAAGCCAGGCCGGGCCTCCCGCCCACACCCCTCGGCCCTGCCCTCTGGCCATACAGGTTCTCGGTGGTGTTGAAGAGCAGCAAGGAGCTGACAGAGCTGATGTTGCTGGGAAGACCCCCAAGTCCCTCTTCTGCATCGTCCTCGGGCTCCGGCTTGGTGCTCACGCACACAGGAAAGTCCTTCAGCTTCTCCTGGGAGGGCCAGGATGGCCAAGGGATGGTGAATATTTGGTGCTGGGCCTAATCAGCTGCCATCCCATCCCAGTCAGCCTCCTCTGGGGGACAGAACCCTATGGTGGCCCCGGCTCCTCCCCAGTATCCAGTCCTCCTGGTGTGTGACAGGCTATATGCGCGGCCAGCAGACCTGCAGGGCCCGCTCGTCCAGGGGGCGGTGCTTGCTCTGGATCCTGTGCGGGGGCGTCTCTGCAGGCCAGGGTCCTGGGCGCCCGTGAAGATGGAGCCATATTCCTGCAGGCGCCCTGGAGCAGGGTACTTGGCACTGGAGAACACCTGTGGACACAGGGACAAGTCTGAGGGGGCCCCAAGAGGCTCAGAGGGCTAGGATTGCTTGGCAGGAGAGGGTGGAGTTGGAAGCCTGGGCGAGAAGAAAGCTCAAGGTACAGGTGGGCAGCAGGGCAGAGACTGGGCAGCCTCAGAGGCACGGGGAAATGGAGGGACTGCCCAGTAGCCTCAGGACACAGGGGTATGGGGACTACCTTGATGGCCTTCTTGCTGCCCTTGATCTTCTCAATCTTGGCCTGGGCCAAGGAGACCTTCTCTCCAATGGCCTGCACCTGGCTCCGGCTCTGCTCTACCTGCTGGGAGATCCTGCCATGGAGAAGATCACAGAGGCTGGGCTGCTCCCCACCCTCTGCACACCTCCTGCTTCTAACAGCAGAGCTGCCAGGCCAGGCCCTCAGGCAAGGGCTCTGAAGTCAGGGTCACCTACTTGCCAGGGCCGATCTTGGTGCCATCCAGGGGGCCTCTACAAGGATAATCTGACCTGCAGGGTCGAGGAGTTGACGGTGCTGAGTTCCCTGCACTCTCAGTAGGGACAGGCCCTATGCTGCCACCTGTACATGCTATCTGAAGGACAGCCTCCAGGGCACACAGAGGATGGTATTTACACATGCACACATGGCTACTGATGGGGCAAGCACTTCACAACCCCTCATGATCACGTGCAGCAGACAATGTGGCCTCTGCAGAGGGGGAACGGAGACCGGAGGCTGAGACTGGCAAGGCTGGACCTGAGTGTCGTCACCTAAATTCAGACGGGGAACTGCCCCTGCACATAGTGAACGGCTCACTGAGCAAACCCCGAGTCCCGACCACCGCCTCAGTGTGGTCTAGCTCCTCACCTGCTTCCATCCTCCCTGGTGTGGGGTGGGCCCAGTGATATCAGCTGCCTGCTGTTCCCCAGATGTGCCAAGTGCATTCTTGTGTGCTTGCGTCTCATGGAACGCCATTTCCCCAGACATCCCTGTGGCTGGCTCCTGATGCCCGAGGCCCAAGTGTCTGATGCTTTAAGGCACATCACCCCACTCATGCTTTTCCATGTTCTTTGGCCGCAGCAAGGCCGCTCTCACTGCAAAGTTAACTCTGATGCGTGTGTAACACGACATCCTCCTCCCAGTCGCCCCTGTAGCTCCCCTACCTCCAAGAGCCCAGCCCTTGCCCACAGGGCCACACTCCATGTGCAGAGCAGCCTCAGCATTCACCGGGCACGAGCGAGCCTGTGTGGTGCGCAGGGATGAGAAGGCAGAGGCGCGACTGGGGTTCATGAGGAAGGGCAGGAGGAGGGTGTGGGATGGTGGAGGGGTTTGAGAAGGCAGAGGCGCGACTGGGGTTCATGAGGAAAGGGAGGGGGAGGATGTGGGATGGTGGAGGGGCTGCAGACTCTGGGCTAGGGAAAGCTGGGATGTCTCTAAAGGTTGGAATGAATGGCCTAGAATCCGACCCAATAAGCCAAAGCCACTTCCACCAACGTTAGAAGGCCTTGGCCCCCAGAGAGCCAATTTCACAATCCAGAAGTCCCCGCGCCCTAATGGGTCTGCCCTGATTACTCCTGGCTCCTTGTGTGCAGGGGGCTCAGGCATGGCAGGGCTGGGAGTACCAGCAGGCACTCAAGCGGCTTAAGTGTTCCATGACAGACTGGTATGAAGGTGGCCACAATTCAGAAAGAAAAAAGAAGAGCACCATCTCCTTCCAGTGAGGAAGCGGGGCCACCACCCAGCGTGTGCTCCATCTTTTCTGGCTGGGGAGAGGCCTTCATCTGCTGTAAAGGGTCCTCCAGCACAAGCTGTCTTAATTGACCCTAGTTCCCAGGGCAGCCTCGTTCTGCCTTGGGTGCTGACACGACCTTCGGTAGGTGCATAAGCTCTGCATTCGAGGTCCACAGGGGCAGTGGGAGGGAACTGAGACTGGGGAGGGACAAAGGCTGCTCTGTCCTGGTGCTCCCACAAAGGAGAAGGGCTGATCACTCAAAGTTGCGAACACCAAGCTCAACAATGAGCCCTGGAAAATTTCTGGAATGGATTATTAAACAGAGAGTCTGTAAGCACTTAGAAAAGGCCGCGGTGAGTCCCAGGGGCCAGCACTGCTCGAAATGTACAGCATTTCTCTTTGTAACAGGATTATTAGCCTGCTGTGCCCGGGGAAAACATGCAGCACAGTGCATCTCGAGTCAGCAGGATTTTGACGGCTTCTAACAAAATCTTGTAGACAAGATGGAGCTATGGGGGTTGGAGGACAGAACATATAGGAAAACTCAGAGCCAAATGAACCACAGCCCCAAAGGGCACAGTTGAACAATGGACTGATTCCAGCCTTGCACGGAGGGATCTGGCAGAGTCCATCCAGTTCATTCAACACCTGGTTAGAAAACTGGGGCCAGCACACAGGGGAAGGGTAAGTTGGTTTCATGATCGAATCAAGGCTCAGACAATTTTTAAAGGCCATAGGGTAGACTGCAATCACCAAGATGAAATTTACAAGGAACAAATGTGAAGCCCAACATTTAGGTTTTAAAAATCAAGCGTATAAATACAGAAGGTGGAGGGAACTTGCTTTAGACACAGTTCAGGTGAAGAAAGACCTGGAAACTTCTGTTAACTATAAGCTCAGTAGGGGCTAAAAGCATGTTAATCGGCATAAAAAGGCAATGAGATCTTAGGGTACACAGCTCCCCGCCCCTCTTCTGCCCTTCATCCTTCTTTCAATCAGCAGGGACCGTGCACTCTCTTGGAGCCACCACAGAAAGCAGAGGTGCATCCAGCACCACAGAAAACAGAGCCACCACAGAAAACAGAGGGGTGACTGTCATCCCCTCCAGTCTCTGCACACTCCCAGCTGCAGCAGAGCCGGAGGAGAGAGCACAGCCTGCAATGCTAATTTGCCAGGAGCTCACATGCCTGCGTCACTGGGCACAGACGCCAGTGAGGCCAGAGGCCGGGCTGTACTGGGGCCTGAGCTGCGTGGTGGGGAGAGAGTCTCTCCCCTGCCCCTGTCTCTTCCGTGCAGGAGGAGCATGTTTAAGGGGAAGGGTTCAAAGCTGGTCACATCCCCACCAAAAAAGCCCATGGACAACGAAAAGCCCACTAGCTTGTCCAGTGCCACAGGAGGGGCAAGTGGAGGAGGAGAGGTGGCGGTGCTCCCCACTCCACTGCCAGTCGTCACTGGCTCTCCCTTCCCTTCATCCTCGTTCCCTATCTGTCACCATTTCCTGTCGTCGTTTCCTCTGAATGTCTCACCCTGCCCTCCCTGCTTGCAAGTCCCCTGTCTGCAGCCTCACCCCTGTCGCATCCTGACTACAATAACAGCTTCTGGGTGTCCCCGGCATCCACTCTCTCTCCCTTCTTATCCCTTCCGTGACGGATGCCTGAGGAACCTTCCCCAAACTCTTCTGTCCCATCCCTGCCCTGCTCAAAATCCAATCACAGCTCCCTAACGCTCCTGAATCAACGTGAAGTCCTGTCTTGAGTAATCCGTGGGCCCTAACTCACTCATCCCAACTCTTCACTCACTGCCTTGCCCCACACCCTGCCAGGGAGCCTCCCGTGGCACCGTGGGGACACAAAGGAACCAGGGCAAAGCTCCCTCAGCCCCATTCAAAGAGGCCTGGCCCACAGGCTCACGGAAAGTCAGCCTCTCATGCCCCGAGAGCTGAGTGCAAGGGAGAGGCAGCGCTGTCTGTGCTTCCCATGCAGAAGCTCCCCCCTCCCACCCCTGTGCAGGCCGGCCTTCGCGGCAGACCACCATACACCACGTTCCAAGCCACACTGAGGCCTCCCTCCAAGCCTGCAGCCCCCATTTCCAGACCCCACCAGGGCAACCTGCATATCCACCTCCCTACCCTGCCCCCCTCTTCCAGGAGTCTGCCCTATGTGGAGTAAGCAAGTGGTTTTACTCTTCAGCAACTATTTCCTTTTTACTCAAGCAATGGCCCCATTTCCCTTGGGGAATCCATCTCTCTCGCAGGCTTAGTCCCAGAGCTTCAGGTGGGGCTGCCCACAGAGCTCCTCAGTCTAAGCCAAGTGGTTGTGTCATAGTCCCCTGGCCCCATTAATGGATTCTGGGATAGACATGAGGACCAAGCCAGGTGGGATGGGTGAGTGTGGCTTCTGGAGGAAGTGGGGACACAGGAGAGCATTCTTTCCTGCTGGACCTGACCCTGTGTCGTGTCACCTTGCTACCACGACAGCATGGCCTGTCTGGGAATGCAGCCAGACCCAAAGAAGCAAACTGACATGGAAGAAAAGCAAAACCAGGCCCTGAGGACATCATTTTAGCCCTTACTCCGAAGGCTGCTCTACTGATTGGTTAATTTCTGCTTAGCTTGGTTTGGGGAGTTCTGACAGGCGTGCCACCAATTCTTACCGATTTCTCTCCACTCTAGACCCTGAGAAGCCCACGCGGTTCATGCTAGCAATTAACAATCAATCTCGCCCTATGTGTTCCCATTCCAGCCTCTAGGACACAGTGTCAGCCACATAATTGGTATCTCTTAAGGTCCAGCACGAGGTGGAGCACATGGTGGAGAGACAGATGCATTGACCTGGAACCCAGGAGTGAGGGAGCCAGGACTCAGGCCCAAGGCTCCTGAGAGGCATCTGGCCCTCCCTGCGCTGTGCCAGCAGCTTGGAGAACCCACACTCAATGAACGCAGCACTCCACTACCCAGGAAATGCCTTCCTGCCCTCTCCTCATCCCATCCCTGGGCAGGGGACATGCAACTGTCTACAAGGTGCCAAGTACCAGGACAGGAAAGGAAAGATGCCAAAAATCCAGCGCTGCCCTCAGAGAAGGGCAACCACGCAGTCCCCATCTTGGCAAGGAAACACAATTTCCGAGGGAATGGTTTTGGCCTCCATTCTAAGTGCTGGACATGGGGTGGCCATAATCTGGAGCTGATGGCTCTTAAAGACCTGCATCCTCTTCCCTAGGCGTCCCTCAGGCACATTTAGCACAAAGATAAGCACAAAAGGTGCATCCAGCACTTTGTTACTATTGGTGGCAGGTTCATGAATGGCAACCAAAGGCAGTGTACGGGTCAAGATTATCAACAGGGAAGAGACAGCATTTCCTGAAGGCTTCCTAGGTGCCAGGCACTGTTCCATTCCTTTGCATGTTTTGATTAATTTAATATTTACAATAATTCTACCAGGAAGCTACCATTATTACCACAACTTCACAAATGAGAACACCGAGGCTTAGAGGGGTTGGGTTGCCCAAGGTTACAGAGGAAGAAAACAGGGGAGCTGGATCTGAGCCAAGGCATCAACTCCAAGGTAACCCCTCAGTCACTTCAGTGTGTGTCCCCTGGTTACTGGGACATTCTTGACAAGCTTGGGGCAAGCCGGTGAGTCAGTGGGGGAGGACTTTCAGGAAGAGGTGGGTTCCCAGTTGGTGACAGAAGAGGGGGCTGCAAAGTGAAGGAGCAGGGGCTCCACGTCTGGCGACAACCAGGGAAGGGACAGGGCAGGGATGGCTTGGACCACGAGAGGCACCTGAGTCAGGCAGTCACATACTTCCCGCTGGGGTCTACCATGTGAGGCATGGTGTGGGATCCTGGGAAGGAGACCAAGCCTCATTTCAGTTTGCTTATGGCCAAAGACAGGACCTGTGTACCCGACAACCCCTGGGACCTTTGCCAAAAAAACAGCAAACACCATTCACTCACTCATGTAAGATAAACACTGAGTGAAGTCACTGGAGCCCAAGGACTGTGCGAGGTCAGCGCTGCCAATACAAGAAGCTGCACCCCTCCAGCTCGCCTCCCTCAATGGCCACTCCGTGCTCCAGCCATGCTGGCTTCCTTTTAGGTCCTCCACCTCCAGGCTGTAGTTCATGTGCTTCTTTCTGGAATGTTCTTCCCAACCCACCCACTCAACCCTCAGACTTTACCATAAATGTCATTTCCTCACATCTGCCTTCCCTGACCTGAGACCAAGCCAGGCTTCCCATGACGAGCCTCACAGTACCCCATCTCCCCTGAACAGATGCAGTAATAACCTACGTAACCCGGGGCCATGATCTATGGCTTTGAATCCTGGCTCTGTCACTAGGCCAGGTCTCTCAGCCTTTCTGTGCCTCAGTTTCCTCATCTATAAAATGAGATGACGGCAGTGCCTGCTCATGAAGTGTGAGTTAATGCACTCAAATCAATGGTGGTGCACGGTTTATATGAATATTAGCGATTACAAAATATTATCAATAGACCTTGTCACAACTGTTATTGAAGAACTAATCATCTATTGCTTATTTAGGTCTTTCTCTCCTGCCAGAATGTGCGCTCCAGGTGGAGAGGTATGTTGCCTTATCCATGGCTGGATATATAGAGATTCCCACACTGCCTTGCACACGAGCACTGCTGGGTAAATATTTGTTGGCTGCAGGAAAACGTGAAGGAATAGGCCCTCCAATGGGAGGAAAAGCATGAGTTGTGAGAGCAGAGCCACCACAGGAAACCAGGAGGCTAAGTGGGGTGGAAGGGAGTGAGCTCTCGGACTCCCAGGAGTAAAAGCTTCCAAGTTGGGCTCTCACTTCAGCCCCTCCCACACAGGGAAACCAGATGGGTTCCCCAGGACCAGGATTCCCCAAGGGGGCTGCTCCCAGAGGGTGTGTTGCTGGGATTGCCCAGGACAGGGATGGCCCTCTCATCAGGTGGGGGTGAGTGGCAGCACCCACCTGCTGAAGATGTCTCCAGAGACCTTCTGCAGGTACTGCAGGGCATCCGCCATCTGCTGGACGGCCTCCTCTCGCCGCAGGTCTGGCTGGATGAGGGGCACGGCATAGGTCTGACCTGCCAGGGAGTGCTGCATCCTCACAGGAGTCATGGTGCCTGTGGGTCGGAGCCGGAGCATCAGAGCCACCCACGACCACCGGCACGCCCCCACCACAGGGCAGCGTGGTGTTGAGACAACACAGCCCTCATCCCAACTATGCACATAGCTTCAGCCTGCACAGATAGGGGAGTAGGGGACAGAGCATTTGCTGAGAGGCCAGGAGCGCATAGATGGGACTCTGCTGATGCCTGCTGAGTGAATGAGGGAAAGGGCAGGGCCAGGGACTGGGGAATCTCTAGGGTCAATGGAGGAGTTCAGAGAAGGTGCAACATTTCTGACCCCCTACAAGGTGCTTGCTACCTGCCAGGCACCCTTTCCATACCTTGTCTCAGTTCAGCTCCCCACCTTGGATAAACAAGAAACCTTGGTTGCAGAGGAAAAAAGAGGCTGGAAACAAAGGGGTAGAAATGGGGTAGCGGGGGAGATTGCCTGATCAACTGCCAAATGGTACACAGTTCTGGAAAAGCACAAAAAATGTGCACACACGGGTTCTTCCCACTTTAACCCCTGAGGAATTTGAGGTCTGCTCCTGAAACAGACTGGGCAGTGGCTAGTGACTCTAGGTATAGGAGTATCCAGCCCTGCTCACCCAGGCTAGAGCTTAGGGGGCCAAGAGGAAAGAGGTGCCTGTGGGGGTGGAGGACAGGAAGGAAAAACACTCCTGGAATTGCACAGTGAGGGGAGAGTCTATTTATATTGGGTTTAATTAACTCCTCTCCCTGGTGCCACTACAGCAGCAATCACACTGCAGACAGCACTGATTTGATTGGCAAGAGATGCACCAGGCAGAATATTAAGGGACCAGGCCCCTATAAATAGGCCTAATCACAGCCCCTCGCTGGAAAATGGTAAGGAAGACATTAATCAGGCCTGGCACTATGCCCTAGACCTGCTCCCCTAGGCACTACAGTGGGGCCCTTGGTTGCAACACAAGTAGGTAGGGATGGATGAGTGTGGCATGAAGGGCCTAGGAGATTTCATTTGGGTTTAAAATGCTGTGACCTTGAGTAAGTTGCCGTCTCTGAATCTGATCCTTTCGATTTCCCATTCTCCAAACTGAGAACTAGCACTGCTGAGACGTGGTTATTCCCAATAATAATTTGTATATTTTACATAACATACCACACCGGATTCACCCAGCTGAAGCCTACTCCTTTGCTCCCCCTGCTGGCTTCCCCAGCCCTCCCTTCTGCCCTCCTCAGGCCAGCACTTTTCAGTGAGTTCCTCCTTTGCATACAGGCTTTCCAGATCTGTACTTGCCTAGAATACTCATCAGAGCCCAGGAGTTACTCCTCACCTCGCACTTATTTTTCCTCCCATCAAATAACTAAAGCATGGCCAGCTGATGCCCAGCCAACTGAGAAACCTAACCCTCTGAGACCAGCACACCCCTTTCAAGCATGTTCCTCCCTCCCCTTCTTTGTATTTATACTGATGCAAGTTTGCTGGCTGTCCTAACTTATTTCTGTGCCTCAGTTCTCCCATATGTAAGATCACAAAGGGGGTAAAGATGCAAGATATTTCCTGTGCACATCTTCAGATGAATTTCTTGTTAGTGTGTGTGTGTTTGCTCACACATATGCGTGAAAGAAGAGTACATACACAGATCTCCTCAAAAAGGAGACAGCAAGCCCGTTCAAGAATGGGACTGAATACACCTGATGAGTGGTTTACTTTCTGTCTGCAAACATCTACTGATCATCTGTTAGGTGCAGACCATGATCACAACAAAGACGAATAAGACACTACACTAGCCAGGGAGAGTCTCAAAAACAACTAAACTCAAATTAAATTCATTCTACTCCAGTCATGAGTACAAAGCTAAGGAGTGACAAATCCCTCTTGGAGTTAGGGGAGTCAGGAAAAAGCTCTTAGCAGAATGTGTGCCTCTCGGCCGGGCGCAGCGGCTCACGCCTGTAATCCCAGCACTTTGGGAGGCGAAGGCAGGCAGATCACCTGAGGTCGGGAGTTCGAGACCAGTCTGACCAACATGGTGAAACTCCATCTCTACTAAAAATACAAAATTAGCCAGGCGTGGTGGTGCATGCCTGTAATCCCCGCTACTCGGGAGGCTGAGGAAGGAGAATCACTTGAACCAGGGAGGTGGAGGTTGCAGTGTGCCAAGATCGCGCCATGGCACTCCAGCCTAGGCAACAAGGGTGAACCAGGTCCAGGAAGAAGGTGCAAAGACAGCATTCCAGGTAAAAGAAACAGCTTGAACAAAAAGTGTGTAGGGGAACCGCAAGCGGTCTTGAGTGCTGAGGGTACAATCATCCTTGGGGAAGTACTAGAAGAAAGAATGATAAACAGAGGCCAGTTTGTTAAAAACACTCAAAATTAAAGCTAGGAGTTTGGACTTGTGGCAGGAATGAAATCCTTAGACCTGTGCTGTCCAATATGGTAGCCACCAGGCACATGCAGCCACTGAGCACTTGAAATGTGGATAGTCTGAATTGAGATGTGCCATAAGTGTAAAATATGCACCAAATTTCAAAGACTAGAAAAAAAGAATGTAAAATATCTTATTATTTTATATTGATTACATGCTAAAATAACCATATTTGGGATATACTGGATTTTAAAAATATATCACTAATTTCATCTGTTTCTTTTTACTTTTAGAAATCACATATGTGACTTAAATATTTCTTTTCTTTTTCTTTCCTCTCACTCAGCGTCCTGTGATTCCAAAGAAATGAGTCTCTGCTGTTTTTGGGCAGCAGATATCCTAGAATGGACTCTGACCTAAGCATCAAAATTAATCATCATAACGTTATCATTTTATGGCCCCTTCTTCCTATATCTGGTAGCTTTTAAATGATGACCATGTAGATAATCTTTATTGTCCCTCTTTCAGCAGACGGTATTTTCTTATGCTACAGTATGACTGCTAATAATACCTACACATGTTAGAACCATTCTGACTCCTCAAGAATCTCATTTAACTCTTATTATCAGTGAATTTATCATCATCCCCTATTTTACATAAGGAAATGGGGTTAGAAAGACCAAATAACATTTTTTCAACATCAAAACACTAGCTTGAGATCAAGCCCAGACTTGGATCTGTCGTCTGAATTCCAAGCTTTTTGTTATTGATATGTTTTGTTGTTTTCATGCAATAATGCAAATCTTAGCCCAAACATTTTGTTAGTAGTACCAACTGTAAGTCACCTTATCTTCATACTTTGTCTTTATGTAAACCTAAATTAGATCTGTTTTTGATACTGAGGGAAAAACAAGGGAATCTAACACTAACCAGCCCGTAGTGTGTGGTCAACACTTTCGTTACTTTAGTATACATCACCCCAATTGTTTGTCTTCACCACACACTTTGGAGTTAGGTAGTAGTATCTATTTTTACAAATAAGAAAACCCAGGCACAAAGGGGTTGATTAGCAATTATCTTTTGAAAAGCCTGTAGTTGCTCATCTGAAGAAGTGACGGACCACCTCTTATTTAGTGGACAGACAGTAACTAGTTGAGAAGACAGGGGATTTTGTTGGCGGAAAAAAAATTTTATCAAAAGTCGTCTTCTATCAGGGAGTTTTATGAGAAACCCTAGCTCCTCAGTTCCACAGTGGGTAACTGTAATTCATTCTAGGTCTGCGATATTTCCTGCCTATCCATTTTGTTAACTCTTCAATGCATTCCACAAATACCTAAGTATTATTTAATAATGGTGGGTTTTTTTTTTTTGCATCTATGAAGTTTTTTCAAATTCTTTTTAAGTGACAAAACTTGTACATGTGTATCGCACAATATTTCTAGTCGACAGCACTGCTTTACAGAATGTAAACCGTGCACTCCCAGGAAAATGCAGACACAGCACGCCTCTTTGGGACCGCGGTTTATACTTTCGAAGTGCTCGGAGCCCTTCCTCCAGACCGTTCTCCCACACCCCGCTCCAGGGTCTCTCCCGGAGTTACAGGCCTCGCTGTAGGCCCCGGGAACCCAACGCGGTGTCAGAGAAGTGGGGTCCCCTACGAGGGACCAGGAGCTCCGGGCGGGCAGCAGCTGCGGAAGAGCCGCGCGAGGCTTCCCAGAACCCGGCCGGGGCGGGAAGACGCAGAAGTGGGGAGGCGGAACCGGGACCCCGCAGAGCCCGGGTCCCTGCGCCCCACAAGCCTTGGCTTCCCTGCTAGGGCCGGGCAAGGCCGGGTGCAGGGCGCGGCTCCAGGGAGGAAGCTCCGGGGCGAGCCCAAGACGCCTCCCGGGCGGTCGGGGCCCAGCGGCGGCGTTCGCAGTGGAGCCGGGCACCGGGCAGCGGCCGCGGAACACCAGCTTGGCGCAGGCTTCTCGGTCAGGAACGGTCCCGGGCCTCCCGCCCGCCTCCCTCCAGCCCCTCCGGGTCCCCTACTTCGCCCCGCCAGGCCCCCACGACCCTACTTCCCGCGGCCCCGGACGCCTCCTCACCTGCGAGCCGCCCTCCCGGAAGCTCCCGCCGCCGCTTCCGCTCTGCCGGAGCCGCTGGGTCCTAGCCCCGCCGCCCACAGTCCGCCCGCGCCTCCGGGTCCTAACGCCGCCGCTCGCCCTCCGCTGCGCCCTCCCCGAGCGCGGCTCCAGGACCCCGTCGACCCGGAGCGCTGTCCTGTCGGGCCGAGTCGCGGGCCTGGGCACGGAACTCACGCTCACTCCGAGCTCCCGACGTGCACACGGCTCCCATGCGTTGTCTTCCGAGCGTCAGGCCGCCCCTACCCGTGCTTTCTGCTCTGCAGACCCTCTTCCCAGACCTCCGTCCTTTGTCCCATCGCTGCCTTCCCCTCAAGCTCAGGGCCAAGCTGTCCGCCAGCCTCGGCTCCTCCGGGCAGCCCTTGCCCGGGGTGCGCCCCGGGGCAGGACCCCCAGCCCAGGCCCAGGGCCCGCCCCTGCCCTCCAGCCCTACGCCTTGACCCGCTTTCCTGCGTCTCTCAGCCTACCTGACCTTGTCTTTACCTCTGTGGGCAGCTCCCTTGTGATCTGCTTAGTTCCCACCCCCCTTTAAGAATTAAATAGAGAAGCCAGACGCAAAACTACAGATATCGTATGAGTCCAGTTTTGTGAAGTGCCTAGAATAGTCAAAATTCACAGAGACAGAAGCAGTGGTCGCCAGGAATGGGGAAGCAAGGCGGAGTTGGGCAGCTCGTGTTCAATGGGTAGAGTTTCAGGCTGGGGTGATGGAAGGGTGCTGGAAATGAGTGGTAGTGATGGCGGCACAACGGTGTGAATCTACTTAATCCCACTGAACTGTATGCTGAAAAATGGTTTAGACGGTGAATTTTAGGTTATGTATGTTTTACCACAGTTTTTAAAAAGCTAGTGAAAAGCTGGTAAAAAGAAAGAAAAGAGGCTTTTTTAAAAAGTTAAATATATAAAAAGAGCATCATCAGTCAAGTCCAGCAGTTGTCCCTCCTGGAATCCGTTGGCTTGCCTCCGGCATTTTTGGCCCTTGCCTTTTAGGGTTGCCAGATTAAAAGACAGGATGCCCAGCTAGTTTGAATTTTAGATAAACAACGAATAATTTCGTAGCGTAAATATGTCCCAAGCTTAGTTTGGGACATACTTATGCTAAAAAACATTATTGGTTGTTTATCTGAGATTCAGAATTAAGCATTTTATATTTTATTTGCTGCCTCTGGCCACCCTACTCTCTTCCTAACACTCTCTCCCTCTCCCAGTTTTGTCCGCCTTCCCTGCCTCCTCTTCTGGGGGAGTTAGATCGAGTTGTAACAAGAACATGCCACTGTCTCGCTGGCTGCAGCGGGTGGTCCCCTTACCAGAGGTAAAGAAGAGATGGATCTCCACTCATGTTGTAGACAGAATGTTTATGTCCTCTCCAAATGCTTATGTTGAAACCCTAACCCCTAATGTGATGGTATGTGGAGATGGGCCTTTGGTAGGTAATTACGGTTAGATGAGGTCATGGGGTGGGGCCCTCATTATAGATCTGGTAAGAAAAGAGAGCATTGTCTCTGTGTCTCCCTCTCTCTCTCTCTCTCTCTCTCTCTCTCTCATTTCTCTCTATCTCATTTCTCTCTCTCTCTCTATCTCATTTTTCTCTCTCTCTCTTTCTCTCCTCTGTCTTTTCCCACCAAGTGAGGATGCGAAGAGAAGGTGGCTGTCTGCAAACCAGGAAGAGAGCCCTCACCGGGAACCCGTCCAGCTGCCACCTTGAACTTGGACTTCCAAGCCTCCAGAACTGTGAGGGATAAATGTATGATTTTAAAGTCGCCCAGTGTGTGGTATTTTGTTTTGACTAATACAACCTGAAAACATTTTCCCCTCACTCCACCTGAGCAATATCTGAGTGGCTTAAGGTACTCAGGACACAACAAAGGAGAAATGTCCCATGCACAAGGTGCACCCATGCCTGGGTAAAGCAGCCTGGCACAGAGGGAAGCACACAGGCTCAGGGCTCTGCTATTCATTCTTTGTGTGACCCTGGGCAAGCCATGAATGGAGCTTCAGTCACCCCATTTGTAATGGGATTTAATTGTGCTTGCCCTGCCTCCTTTTGAGGGCTGTAGAGAAAAGATGTCAAAGTATTTTGTAATCTGGCTGGGCGTGGTGGCTCATGCCTGTAATCCCAGCACTTTGGTAGGCTGACGCGAGAGGACTGCTTGAGCCCAAGAGTTTGAGATCAGCCTGGGCAATATTGTGAGATTCCATCTCTACAAAAATAAAATAAAATAGCCAGTCATGGTGTCACACACCTGTAGTCCCAGCTACATGGGAGGCTGAGGTGGGAGGATCACTTGAGCTTGGGAGATCGAGGCTGCAGTGAGCTATGATTGTACCACTGCACTCCAGGCTGGGCGACAGAGAGAGACCCTGTCTCAGAAAAAAAAAAAAAGTACTTGGTAATCTGTAAGGTTTATTTCAACACACACAAAAAAAGTGTATATGCTCCACGATGCCTGTGAATATACACACACACCACATCATATACCAAGCCTGGCTGTGTCTTCTCACAAATGCACTGCTAGGCACCACCCCCAGTTCTAGAATCACACCAGCCAGTTCACCCTCCAGATGGTTCACCCTCAACTTCATAAAAGTTCCCTACCTAATCTACTGACAGGCGCATCCCCGACCTTATTTTAAAGATTTCCTAGGAGCTGCAATGGGAATCCTGGACCTCAGCCTGGACAAAGAACAGCTGCAGGTCATTCTCATGTGTGGACACGGAAGCCCTGCCTGCCTTTGCTGGCCAGCTGGGCTGAGTGGGCCTGGGAAATTAAGGCTGCAGGGTTGGTCCCAGGCAGTCTTGCTGAAGCTTGCCACATCCCCCAGCCTCCTGGATTTGCCAGGATCCAAGAGCATGGACTTTAGGAATTCCTGGTGGAGGAGTGAAGAAAATGTGACAGGGTGTCCTAAGCCCCGATCTACAGGAAGAAAACTGGAAATAAGACTGAGGACTTAGTTTAAGATGTTCCTACTCAGCCTCTAGCTTTTGTGCTACAGTTCCGGGAACAGACTCCTCTCTCCTGAAAACCACTTCCCTCCGCAGCATTAAATTTCACCAAGATGTCTTGCTTGTGGGAAAGACTTCCAAGGATGCCTGGAGAGAGGAGGATGGAAATGTCCTGCTCTCTAAACAGATAGACAGATGCAGCCAGACAGAAAATAGTTTATCTTGCTGAGGTTTCTAATGTATTTGAAAGAGGCCTGGGTCTAGAAGTCTACCCAGAGGGCTCTGTGTTGTGCACGCAAAGATAAGAACCTTCCCTGTGGGAGTTCCAGAGCCAGTTTTCATAAACACCCATCGGTGACTGTGTTCAGAGTGAGTTCACACCATCCTGACCTGCCCTGAGTTAGACCTTACATGGTCTTCCTCCTCTAGGAAGCCTCTGCAGCCCAGGAACCTCCCCTTATCTGAAATGAACAGCATTTGAAGCTTCACCAGACAGACCAGACAGCTTGGCCCTCGTGTTGTGCTATGTGGGTTGTTCTCTGAGAGGCAGGAGAGCATAGTGGTTACTAGGAAGGGAAGGACTTTGGGACTAGACTGCCTCGGCTGGAGTCCTCTTTCTGCTTCATAGCCACGTGATCCTAGGCATGTTACCTGTGCCTCAGTTTTCACTCTATCAATATGTAATAACTGCATCTGTCTTTGTGGTGAGGATTCAGTGAGTTAACATATTTGAAGTGCTTAAAAATGAGGCTTGTGTCCATAGATTAATGAGTGAATACACAAATGGTGATATGGACATACAGTGGAGTATTAGTCATAAAAAGGAAGGCAGAGCTGATCCATGGCACCATGTGACTGAACCTCAAAAGCATTAGGTTAAGTGGAAGAAGCCAGACACAGGTCACCTATTGTGTAATTCCATTTATAGGAAATATACAGAATATGTAAATCCGTGGAGAAAGAAAGCCGATTTCCAGGGGCTAAGGGGAGGGGAGAATGGGAAGTGGCTGCTTCATGGGTACAAGGTTTCATTTTGAGCTGATGAAAATGTTTTGGAACTACATAGAGATAGTGTTGGCACAACATGGTGAATGTACTGAATGCCACTGATTGTTCACTTTAAAATGGTCAAACTTATGTGAATTTCACCTCCATTAAAAAAAAAAAAAGGACCAGACGTGGTTGCTCACACCCATAATCCCAACACTTTGGAAAAAGGTGAAAGTTTTTTTTCTTTTTTTTTTATATACTTAAGTTCTAGGGTACATGTGCATAATGTGCAGGTTGGATACATAGATATGAGTGTGCCATGTTGGTTTGCTGCACCCATCAACTTGTCATTTACATTAGGTATTTCTTCTAATGCTATCCCTCCCCCAGCCCCCCACCCACTGACAGGCCCCAGTGTATGATGTTCTCTGCCCCATGTCCAAGCGTTCTCATTGTTCAATTCCCACCTGTGAGTGAGAACATGCAGTGTTTGGTTTTCTGTCTTTGTGATAGTTTGCTCAGAATGATGGTTTCCAGCTTCATCCATGTCCCTGCAAAGGACATGAACTCATCCTTTTTAATGGCTGCATGGTATCCCATGGTATATATGTGCCACATTCTCTTAATCCAGTCTGTCATTGATGGACATTTGGGTTGGTTCAAAGTCTTTGCTATTGTGAATACTGCCACAATAAACATACATGTGCATGTGTCTTTATAGTAGCACGATTTATAATCCTTTGGGTATATACCCTAAGACCTGGGACGCATTTAAAGCAGTGTGTAAAGAGACATTTATAGCACTAAATGCCCACAAGAGACCTCTGCCTGAGAACGTGGGTTTCAGCCTAAGAGTTGTAATATGTGTGCCCATTCACAGGTGCTGCATCAGAGTCCCAGGTGGGAAGAAGGCAAGCATACACAAAAATGGTAAAAGGCAGAAAGGAGCCCAGTCTCGTTCTTTTTAAGAAGTTTTCCTAAGAATCTCCACCCAGCGACTTGCTCTCACATCTTCTTGGCCAGCACTGGACCACACAACTTCTTCTAGATACAGAGGAGTCCTAGGATTCTATGAGAAAGAAGGGGAGGGTGGGCAAAGGGCAGCCAGCTGTGCAGCATCTGCTGGAGACACCTAACCCTTGGTGGAGGGGTTGTGGTGCTGGGAGAAGGCTTTCTGGACGGTGTGACAGCAGAGATAAACTTAAAGGCCAAGTAGGAGTTACCCTGGTGAAGCAGGGCAGGGTTACAAGCATTCCAGCAACTTGAAGCAGCAGGAGTGTTTTAATTAAAAGAAGGCAGTTGCTGTAACCAACTATAAACAAATAAAGGCTTAAACACAATGGAAGTTTATTTCTCACTAAGGGAACATCCAAATCCATGATACTTTAAGTCAGGGACCCAGGTTCCTCCCATCTATGGTTCTGCCATCACTAATCTGGGTCTTCCACAATTGCCGTGCTCCTTGGAGGTGGGAAGAGCAGGCGGAGGACACGTGGGAGGTTTTAGAGACAAGCCTGGAGGCAGCATGCGTCACTCCCATGCAGAGTCCATTGGCCAATGCTGGCTCCGATGGCCACATCTCACTGCAGGGGCAGCTGGGAAATACAGTCTGGCTGTCTACCCAGGAGGAAGAGCAGCCAGTTTCTGCTGCTGATGATCAGGAGGTAGAGAAAATGTTCAGTCGGGCAGGGAGTGGGAATAGACAAGACCACAAGCAGCTTGGTGCCTCTGAAAGGGAGAGGGGTGGAGGGGAGACTAGAGAGGTGGGTAGGAATACTGGATTCCACTGACCACATGCTGGATGTCACGCTTAGCCCTCCTGCTCTGTGCCGGGTTAGGCACCTGGTGTTTTACGTACATAATCTCAATTCTGTGAGGGCATCCGACCTGTGGGAAAAGAGCTGTTTGTTTCAAATGCTACTCCTGCTTCCTAACAAGTGTTTAGAGCTTAATCGTGTTCAAAATACATATACAATGTTTAATACTTACAAGAATTTGGCGGGGAAAATATTACCATCTTTCCCTTTTATGATTGGAGAAAAATGAGGCTTTGAAGGGTTTAAGAACTTGCCCAAGGTTGGCCAGGTGCAGTGGCTCATGTCTATAATCCCAACACTTTGGGAGGCTAAGGTGGGAGGATCGCTTGAGGCCAGGAGTTCAAGACCAGCCTGAGCAACATAGTGAGACTTTGTCTCTATAAAAAATAAATAAATAAATAAAAAGAACTTGTCCAAGGTCAGACAGGCAGCCTCTTAGTAAGCACACATATCTTCTATATTATACTACCTCTCATGGAGGATCTCCTGTGTTCTACAAATAGTCTGGACTTGAGCCAGAATGTGTTATAATCCTGGGATCACAGCCAGTGGGCTTAGAAGAAGCCATCTCTTTCTCATGCCAAGATGAGGCTCCCCCAGATTTGCTCAGACTTACCTATAGTCAGCAGCATCGGGGGTCAGGAAAGACTTCATGAAGCCATAAATGCATCCTTCTCGGGGCAGCACCTGGCTCTCCCAGGTGAGAGAGGAATCCATTTTCACAGGCAGGTGTGGGAGCTTCAGCACCCATCTCTGGGCCCAGAATGACCCACTGGAGACCTTACAGCTCTCCTGTCACCCCCAATTCCTGCCCCCTCTGCAGCCTTGGAGGAGAATGGAGCTGAAGGGCCTGCCCTCTGTAGGGTGAGAAAGGGAGGCTAAAGCCTGGTGCCCACTGCCCTGGCTGCTCCGCATTGCAGGAGCTGCGCCCTTCCTTTCCTGGCACAGGGTCCACAGCCCCGAAACCCCGTTGTGTGGGAGCTGGGCACAGGGCAGCAGGACTAATCCTTGGAACAGCTCAGGGAGGATTATCCCAGCCACTGTCAGCAGCGGTGCAGCTGGCTCATTCCCATATAGGGGGAGGCCAGAGCCAGGGGCCTGCCACAAGTTGGAAGGCTGGGGAAGGGGAGGCCAGCAGAGGTGTCCTGGCTGTGGGTGGCTCTGAGGGGGCTCTCAGGGGTGGGGCTAAATCTCAGGGGCAGGATTATGTAAATCAAACCAATTCTAGCCACAGATTTAAAGTTTGGAAAAAAAAAAAAAAAACCCAGCCTGGCGGAAAGAATTTAAATTATAAAAACTTAGAAGTATGGAATGTGAAATCATCCTGTAGGTGCTTATTTAACAACGAAATCATCCCGACACAATGAGCCATATGTGAAAAGTCCTCCTTCCCCAACACATCCCCCAACAGGCACTCCTCAAACCTCTACCACCCAAGTGCTGGCATCCTCCCTGTCCTGCTTCACCTGAGACACCCCTTGTCTCATTAGACATGCAACTACGGGAGGGGTGACAGGAAGACAAGACACTATTTCCTCAGGCCCAGTTTGGTGTGGGGAGAAAGCCTCCTGATCCTGAAAGCAAGAATTTGACCAGAGCAGAAGTAATCAGTATGCAGATTGACTCTGTGGTATGTTAATGTTTATGCATAGATTATGAGGACTAGATGAAAAGTGGGCCAGGGGAGACAGATGTGTGTGTGAGTCATGGGTGGCTGAGATGGGGACAGGAGGGAAACTGGTTCGGAGGCTGCTGGCGATGGGATGGGGGTGCCAGGAGGAAGGGAGGCAGTTGTTTGAATGTCTGCATGAAAAAGCAGAGGACGGCGGGGTCTGGGTGAATTCGGGCAACCATTTGGACGGTGGAGAAAACTGCCTGCGTGCGGCTGAGGACCTGAACTATTAATTTGTTTTTTAGCTAATGCAAAGATAAATATAAAAACTGATACTCCATCCAGTTACCAGAAAACATTTAGGTATGTGTGAGACAACTTGGGTATGTGAACCTACCTTTTCAATGTAAATTCAGTGAAATCTAAGTACAGAT